>NC_000006.12:162192002-162343517 GCF_000001405.40 Homo sapiens | reverse complement strand
CATTATACTTCCTACTCTTTTCTTATTACTGTTTCTGGGAAACCAGGATAGCAATGCAACTTGCTGTTCCTAGGGGAGGGTAAGAGCTATGGCTACTGCTGTAGTAGCAAACAACAACCACACGGGATGGCTAAGGCTTTATTCCACAGACCCAGTCATGGCTTCTGCAAAGCCAGAAAGGGGTGGAGAATGTGAGGTGCGTCTAGAACCTAGCCTTAATATAAAGGTATTATCATTTTAAAAATATTAACAAATAATCCCTTGATCCCAAGGTTAACAGTCTTATACCTGTGTTATTTAAACTTCTCATTTATTGCATCTTTTTTCAAGTTGATGTCAGGAATAAAGCATACTAATCAGGAAGACAAAAATGTAATAAGCAGATATTTCTTCTGATGAGAAATATTTATTTAGCATTGCAGACAGTATATAACAGGTTTTCCTATTGTTTTTCTAAAACAAACTCGACTTCTACTTGTCAACATTAAGCTCTTCCTAATGGTTATTTACATCAATCCTTGGCTTTCATGGATACTTTTTTTTAAAGTGCCACAAGAGAGAAACCTAGGAATAAGATTTTATGAAAGGAGCAACCTGGACTCTTTTTTCCTACCATCATATTTTGTGTTTGCTTGGAAAATAAAACTAAGCAAAGATTTCTGTAATCAGTAGATAAGTATATCACGTTAGGGATTAGAAGCCAAAGGTAATCATTAATAATATTTTTTAAAATCATCACCATGATTGGGCTTGACAAGGAGGAAAATCACTCTAGTTTCTATGTCTGTGTCATGCGGCAAATGACAACACAAGAGCTTAGAGAAGCCGTGCCTTAAATCTGCCTTAGAGTCACTGAGGAGTAAGTAAATGATTCTTCCCTCCCTAGCACACTGCATGGTGCATAGTAGACACTTAATTATTTGTCGTGTCAATTAATCAATGAGTCAAAATCCCAGGTCCACCACTTACTTACTATGTAAACTTTGGCAAGTGACCTGACTTCTTAATGATTAGTCCTTTTCACCCTATAATATTTATCATAATAGCACCTCATTAAGTTATTAAGAAGGTGATATGAGATAATATATGTAAACTACTTCACATCGTGCCTGGTGCTAATTCACAGATCAATAGCTTATTCAGGGTCTTATTAAACACCAACGTTGTTTTGTTTTGTTTTGAAAGTATTATCTGCACTTCTCACTTACTCGTGGAAAAACTATATTGCAATCATGTAGAGTGAAAGTTGAAGGGAAACGTTGGCCATAATCAGATGTGCTTAAATATATGACAGAAACTGAGTTCAGCATCACTTGCATGATTTGAAATATTCTTGCCTCTACTTTTGCCACTTTCTACCAAATAGGTTGACACAGAACTAAAGAACAAGGCCAAGTTAGTTATTCACAAAGAGGATTTAGCAATAATTCAAACTTAAATATGTATACCGATGGAAGAGCCATGCAAGAGTCACTATACCAATTAGTGAGGTTTCAAAAAAAACTATTTCATTAAAAAGCAAACCCTCTACAATGTTAATTTAATGAATACCTAGATTTAGAAGAACATTTGACTTTGAATGGCCGAAGTGACACCAGGAGTTTTTTTTTTTTTAATACATTAGGTTGTGGTATACATGTACAGAACAGGCAGGTTTGTTACATAGGTATACACATGCCATGGTGGTTTCCTGCACCCATCAATCCATCATCTACATTAGGTATTTCTCCTAATGCTATCCACTCCCATCCCCCCACCCCCTGACAGGCCCCAGTGTGTGTTGGTCCCCTCCCTGTATCCATGTGTTCTCATTTTTCAACTCCCACTTATGAGTGGGAACATGCAGTGTTTGGTTTTCTGTGCCTGTGTTAGTTTGCTGAGAATGATGGTTTCCACCTTCATCCATGTCCCTGCAAAGGACATGAACTCATCCTTTTTTATAGCTGCATAGTATTCCACAGTGTATATGTGCCACATTTTCTTAATCCAGTCTATCATTGATGGCCATTTGGGTTTGTTCCAAGTCTTTGCTATTGTGAACAGTGCCACAATAAACATACATGTGCATGTGTCTTTATAGTAGAATGATTTATAATCCTTTGGGTATATACCCAGTAATGGGATTGCTGGGTCAAATGGTATTTCTGATTCTGGATCCTTGAGGAATCACCAAACTGTCTTCCACAATGGTTGAACTAATTTACACTCCCACCAATAGTGTAAAAGTGTTTCTATTTCTCCACATCCTCTGCAGCATCTGTTGTTTCCTGACTTTTTAATGATCCCCATTCTAACTGGCATGAGATGGTATCTCACTGTGGTTTTGATTTGCATTTCTCTAATGACCAGTGATGATGAGCTTTTTTTCATATGTTTCTTGGCCGCATAAATGTCTTGAGAAGTGTCTGTTCATATCCTTTGCCCACTTTTTGATGTTTTTTTTTCCCTTGTAAATTTGTTTAAGTTCCCTGTAGATTCTGAATATTAGCCCTTGTCAGATAGATAGATTGCAAAAATTTTCTCCCATTCTTTAGGTTGCCTGTTGACTCTGAGGATAGTTTCTTTTGCTGAGCAAAGCTCTTTAGTTTAATTAGATCCCATTTGTCAAGTTTGGCTTTTGTTGCCATTTCTTTTGGTGTTTTAGTCATGACGTCTTTGCCGATGCTTATGTCCTGAAAGGTATTGCCTAGGTTTTCTTCTGGGGTTTTTATGATTTTAGGTCTTAACGTTTAGGTCTTGAGTTAATTTTTGTATAAGATGTAAGGAAAGGGTCCAGTTTCAGTTTTCTGCATATGGCTAGCCAGTTTTCCCAACACCGTTTATTAAATAGGGAATCCTTTCCCCATTTCTTGTTTTTGTCAGGTTTGTCAAGGATCAGATGTTTGTAGATGCGTGGTGTTATTTCTGAGTCCTCTGTTCTGTTCCATTGGTCTATATATCTGTTTTGGTACCAGTTCCATGCTGTTTTGACACCAGGAGATTTTTTACAAGTGATTTTGTACCACAGAACTACACAGTTAATTTTCAGAAGCAATACTCTATTAGATATCTGCCAGTTTTCTACAGGGAAATGTCTAGACATTGGTATTCAGGAAGAATTTCATTATGGTTTGACTATATATTTTTTATTCACAAACCTTTAAGAAGTTCACTTTTTTCATCCAATTTTCAGAACAATGAATTAAACTTTAGAATAAGGTTGGATAAATACTTATCAAGGCAGAATCCTATTCAAGTGTTATATCCAATTTACTTGAAATAGAGAAACTGAGTAATTGGGACAAAATGCATAGAATTAGAGAGCTTTTCTGATTTTCTTGGTTCTCACGAAATAAAATTGCAAAAATCAGAGACTACTTTTTTTTTTTTTAATTTATTTTTTTATTGATAATTCTTGGGTGTTTCTCACAGAGGGGGATTTGGCAGGGTCATGGGACAATAGTGGAGGGAAGGTCAGCAGATAAACAAGTGAACAAAGGTCTCTGGTTTTCCTAGGCAGAGGACCCTGCGGCCTTCCGCAGTGTTTGTGTCCCTGATTACTTGAGATTAGGGATTGGTGATGACTCTTAACGAGCATGCTGCCTTCAAGCATCTGTTTAACAAAGCACATCTTGCACCGCCCTTAATCCATTCAACCCTGAGTGGACACAGCACATGTTTCAGAGAGCACAGGGTTGGGGGTAAGGTCACAGATCAACAGGATCCCAAGGCAGAAGAATTTTTCTTAGTGCAGAACAAAATGAAAAGTCTCCCATGTCTACTTCTTTCTACACAGACACGGCAACCATCCGATTTCTCAATCTTTTCCCACCCTTCCCCCCTTTCTATTCCACAAAGCCACCATTGTCATCATGGCCCATTCTCAATGAGCTGTTGGGTACACCTCCCAGACGGGGTGGTGGCCAGGCAGAGGGGCTCCTCACTTCCCAGTAGGGGCGGCCGGGCAGAGGCGCCCCTCACCTCCCGGACGGGGCGGCTGGCCGGGCGGGGGGCTGACCCCCCCACCTCCCTCCCGGACGGGGCGGCTGGCCGGGCAGAGGGGCTCCTCACTTCCCAGTAGGGGCCGCCGGGCAGAGGCGCCCCTCACCTCCCGGACGGGGCGGCTGGCCGGGCGGGGGGCTGACCCCCCCACCTCCCTCCCGGACGGGGCGGCTGGCCGGGCGGGGGCTGACCCCCCCACCTCCCTCCCAGACGGCGCGGCTGGCCGGGCGGGGGGCTGACCCCCCCACCTCCCTCCCGGACGGGGCGGCTGGCCGGGCGGGGGGCTGACCCCCACCACCTCCCTCCCGGACGGGGTGGCTGCCGGGCGGAGACGCTCCTCACTTCCCAGATGGGGTGGCTGCCGGGCGGAGAGGCTCCTCACTTCTCAGACGGGGCGGCTGCCGGGCGGAGGGGCTCCTCACTTCTCAGACGGGGCGGCTGCCGGTCGGAGGGGCTCCTCACTTCTCAGACGGGGCGGCTGCCGGGCGGAGGGGCTCCTCACTTCTCAGACGGGGTGGTTGCCGGGCAGAGGGTCTCCTCACTTCTCAGACAGGGTGGCCGGGCAGAGACGCTCCTCACCTCCCAGACGGGGTCGCGGCCGGGCAGAGGCGCTCCTCACATCCCAGATGGGGCGGCGGGGCAGAGGCGCTCCCCACATCTCAGACGATGGGCGGCCGGGCAGAGACGCTCCTCACTTCCTAGATGTGATGGTGGCCGGGAAGAGGCGCTCCTCACTTCCTAGATGGGATGGCGGCCGGGCGGAGACGCTCCTCACTTTCCAGACTGGGCAGCCGGGCAGAGGGGCTCCTCACATCCCAGACAATGGGCGGCCAGGCAGAGACACTCCTCACTTCCCAGACAGGGTGGCGGCCGGGCAGAGGCTGCAATCTCGGCACTTTGGGAGGCCAAGGCAGGCGGCTGGGAGGTGTAGGTTGTAGTGAGCCGAGATCACGCCACTGCACTCCAGCCTGGGCACCATTGAGCACTGAGTGAAGGAGACTCCGTCTGCAATCCCGGCACCTCGGGAGGCCGAGGCTGGCGGATCACTCGCGGTTAGGGGCTGGAGACCGGCCCGGCCAACACAGCAAAACCCCGTCTCCACCAAAACCAGTCAGGCATGGCGGCGCGTGCCTGCAGTAGCAGGCACTCGGCAGGCTGAGGCAGGAGAATCAGGCAGGGAGGTTGCAGTGAGCCGAGATGGCAGCAGTACAGTCCAGCTTCGGCTCCGCATGAGAGGGAGACCGTGGAAAGAGAGGGAGACCGTAGGGAGAGGGAGAGGGAGAGGGAGAGAACACTCTTTTTCAGAGACTACTTCTTTTAGATTTACCTATTAGCCTTATCATCTCCTGCTGTGGTTATAATTGTACATTTGTCTCTCCTGGAGATGGTAAGAACCTTGAAGTCAGGAGCAAATGCTTCTTCTCCTTCTGTCTCCCGGGCCACTGTCCTAGTACAGAGTTATTTATCAAAGTTAAATCTCTACATTCTATGCATGTTCCAAACTTATCGGAAAGTTAATTTTTAGATTTATCCTCTTAAAACTTTAAAGATATTTAAAGATGCATTTATAATATGTTATAATGAAATATTGTGTATTATGTAACATTAATAATGTATTTTTATGGCAATATTTTGCTATTAGAAGTAGTTTGTTACTTGTAATACTCTCACATTTTCTTAAAATATCCTATAATCCCATTCCATTTAACATCAGTCTCTTCAGCGTACTTTTGTATTCATCTGTTTCATTTTTCCTGGTTTTCTTTCCATTCCTATGTCTCTTTCATAAATGACTGCCGAGTGATTAGCTTCTGTTATTAGACCCAGGTGTCCTCACAGCCCGTATGGGGCCAAGGAGGAATGATGATGGATCGAGACCTGCTGATCCTGCAGCTGCCAGCGAGACTGAGAGGCTCCACGGGAAATGCTGCATATTTTCCATGTTGACCAGGAGCTGCAGAGCCACCAGCCCTCTCTCTGTGTTCTCAAATCCCTCACACTTTACTTACAACTGATTAAGTCTGAAAATAACTTGGATTATCTATTACGTGCTAATGTAGTGACATTCATCACACATTTTTATAAACAAGTGCATTCATCTAAAGAATGGGTCCAAATGTGTTGAACTCTGAGAAAAGATGAGGCATCGTCTAGTTACCTATTCTGTTAAAGGTGAAACTTTTTAAATATTTATGCAAATATTAAAACAATTTCAAATACCTTGGTTATGTGAGGATGGGGGAGGTGAGATAACTTTTCTTAACTGTTATTTTGGGTTGTGTTTTATAATAGAAATATTTGGTTATTTGAAATCCTCTTGCTTAATTAGGCAGATTCATACTAAATGGTTCAACAGGTTGCATCTATAATCTTGTGGCTAAAAGTGGTTATTTTCAAGTCAATATTTGGGGTTCCTTTTTAGAGATGAGAGTTTACTAATTCAATATTTGTAGTCACAAGATACATAAGAGTCATGTTTAAACAGTACTGTGTGCTTTAGAAATAATCACTGAAATCACAAGTTGTTCTTCTAATTACACCTCTGACCGAGTCCTTAGCAGTCTCAACTGGACAGCCAGAAAATCCAGGGATATCCTTATCTGAGAGTAGATATGTTCTCCCCCAGTGATGAAAACAATTCAGTGCCTTCACAATGGCCAGAGCACTGCTTCTCACATTTTTGGGTCTCTTGGACTCACCAGTACCTTTGAAAGTGGCTGATTTGTTGAGCTGTCCTCTATGGTTAGGAATTTAGTATCCCTGAGATTAGGCCAACCACCTCAAGCCTTTTGTAGATGTAGTAAAGTCTAATGAACTTTATGGAAAGTATTCTGATGTGGAGATTAATTTGTCTTTGTGTTGTTGAGAATAAGTGTTGAGCTAGTTAGGCAACCTGCAGCACCTGCGTCCCGCTCACATGCAATCTCAAATCATCAATCGAAATCGTGTGACAGACAGTCTTGATGAGATGGCAGGCATCAATCATTTTCAGATTTTTGACACATACTTTTATTCCTTCCTTGTGCAGAGAATTAGCATTATGGTGTGAATCTCTGTCAGTTCAGTACTTGGCAGTTGGCACTGTCATGTGCCGCAGATGTGTGGCTTTAAGTTTTAAAATTGTAAAGTGTGGATACGGTGCTCTCCATTACCCAGACATTCCCCTGAGGCTTCCAGAGAGAGGAGGTATCGTTGTAGCTGTAACATAGACTGAAATTGGCATTGAGAGTGTGACATCTTTCTAGTGAAAAAGAAGAAGAGGTGAAGATAGAGTAATATGAACATTTTATACTTGTATACATTGTATACATTTTATACTTGTATACATATTCTGTTGAGTTTTATGAAAACACCTGATTAGATAAGTGGAAAAATGACAAACAGTCTTCAGAAAGTGTTATGGAAACCTCTCATACTCCTGTTTGCTGCTCTGGTATTTCACAGATGGAGCCCAACTATTCCATTGTCCTTGCTGCCCTTGCTTACCCTGTAGAGGTTCTTTAGCATCACGCATTCCAGTGTGAGATGGGCCGCACTGCTCAGAGAAAGCCAAGGTGTGTGGCAGAATCACTGTAATTACTTGAATCTAGTTGCCCTTAAGTGAGACCAATCCTCCCCAGTTTACCCAGGACGTTTCCTGTTTCAGCACTTAAAGTCTCAAGTCCCAGGGCCCCTCTCTTTGCTGGAAGAGTTGGCCACCCTCGCTTCACTCGGCATGGACTTACCAGTTGTGTAGCCCTCTACCTCTGAAGGAATGGCAGGCCTGGCCTTGAACTGTGTAGAAGGGTGAGGAGAAGAAGGCATTATCAAAATCACTGGTGAGCGATAAAATAGGAGAAATAAGAGCAGTTTGATGTAATTATTATATATTAAGTTTATTACATTCAAAAAGTCAACTTCTTTTAAAGAATTTAATCTCACTCTGAGTATGTTGTTGGCATAAACATATTGCTTTTTAAGAAAATGGTGGTGATTTAACAAAAGGTATATTTAGAAAAAATGAACTCTGGTATTGTTACAGGCACACCCTCAGAGATACTACAGGTTAGATTCCAGAAGACCACGGTAAAACAAATATAGCAAGAAAGTGCAACCCATGAGTGTTTTGGTTTCCCGCTGCATTTAAAAGTTATGTTTACACTGTAATGTAGTCTATTAATTATGCGATAGCATTATGTCTCAAAACCAACCTACAGGTCAGGTGCAGTGGCCCATGCCTGTAGTCCCAGCACTTTGGGAGGCCGAGGCAGGCAGATCACCTGAGGTCAGGAGTTCAAGACCACCCTGCCTAACCTAGCGAAACCCCATCTCTACTAAAAATACAACAATTAAAAAAAAAAAAGAAAAAGAAAAAAAGTAGCCAAACGTGGTGCCGTGTACCTATAATCACAGGTACTCGGGAGGCTGAGGCAGGAAAATCGCTTGAACCCAGGAGGCGGAGGTTACAGTGAGCTAAGATCAGGCCACTGCACTCCAGCCTGGAGGACAGAGCAAGACTCTTGTCTCAAAAACAAAAACAAAATCATCCATAAGAAACAACTCTTCATCCATTCAAGTAATGAGATTGCAGCAATTTGGTCACATCTTCAGGCTCCACTTCTAGTTCTTGTTCTCTTGTTATTTTTACCACATCTGCAGTGACTTCCTCCACTGAGGAGTAAGTCATTGAAAGATGGAATCCAAATCTTCTAATTCCTGTTCATATTGATATTTTGACCTCTTCCCATGAATCATGAATGTTGTTAGAGCACCTAGGATGAGGAATCCTTTCCAGAAGGTTTTCAAAGATCTTTGCCAAGCTCCATAAGAAGACTCAATATCTGGGACAGCTATAGCCTTATGAAATATACTTCTTAAATAATAAGACTTGCAAGTTAAAATTGCTCCTTAATCCATGGGATGCAGAATGGATGTTGAGTCAGTAGGCATAAAAACAAAATTAATCTCCTTGTGTATCTTTCGGGTGACCAGTTGTATTGTCAATAAGCAGTAATATTCTGAGCTGGAGTTCTCAACAGTGCACTTAAAATATTCGGTAAAACACACTGTAAACAGATGTGCTGGCATATAGGCTGTTTTTCCATTTATAGAGCATGGCCACAGAAATTTCAGCATGATGGGCCCTAGGATTTTAATGGAAATGAGCATTGGCTTTAAACCAGCTGCATTTGCCCCTAACAAGATAATCAGCCTGTCCTTGGAAGTTTTGAAGCCATGCATTGACTTTTCCTCTCTAGCTATGAAAGTCCCAGATGGCATCTTGCAATAAAAGGCTGTTTTCTCTACACTGAATATCTGTTGTTTGGTGTATCCAATCTTAGCTAGATGCTCTGGATAACTTGCTGCAGCTTCTACAGCAGCATTTGTTGCTTCACCTCGCATTTTTACATGATGGAGACAGTTTCTTTCCTTAATCCTCATGAACCAACCTCTGCTAGCTTCAACCTTGTCTTTTACAGCTTCCTGACCTCTCTCAGCCTTCGTAGAATTGAAGGGAGTTGGGGCCTTGCTTTAGATTAGGCTTTGGCTTTAGGGAATGTTGTGGCTGTTTCGATCTTGTATCCAGATAACTCAGACTTTCTCCATATCAGCAATATGGCTGTTTGCTTTCGTTTCGTTTGTGTGTTCACTGGAGTAGCACTTTTCATTGCCTTCATGAAGTTTTCTTAGCATTCACAACTTGACTAACTTGTTGGTACAGCCAACCTGGTGCAAAGCCTGTCTTGGCTTTCAACGTGCCTTCCTCACTGAGCTTTATCATTTCTAGCTTTGATTTAAAGTGAGAGACATGCAACTCTGCCTTTCGCTTGAACATTTAGATGCCGTCGTAGCATTATTAATTGGTCTAATACAGTATAGTTGCGTCTCAGGCTATAGGGAGGCACACCTGAGGAGAAAGACAGAGACAGTGTCTAACAGGCAGTTGGCGTATCAGTCGGAACACATGTAACATTTATAAGTTTGCTGTTTTATATAGGCATGGTTGGTGGTGCCCCAAAACTAGACGATATTTATGTCAGTGATCGTGGATCATACATCACAATAACAGATATAATGATAGTGGAAAAGTTTGAAATATTATATGAATTACCAAAATGTGATGCAGAGACATGAAGTGAGCACATGGCTGTTGGCAAAATGTCTCCTGTGGACTTGCTTGATGCACGGTCGCCATAAACCTTCAATTTGTTAAAAAATGCAGTATCTTCAAAGCACAACAACTTGAAGCACAATGACAAGAGGTGTGCCTGCATGTGCACTCTAGCCTGAGGGACAGTGAGACCCTGTTTCAAAAAAAAAAAAAAAAAGATTTTAATGTGGCATTTTATTTGCTTTATTTTTTATAAAAAGAGAGTAGCAGAGAAAGAGTAACTTGTCCCTTTTCACATCAAGAATATATGGGTCTCTTTCTCTAGTTAAAATTCAAAATAGGAAAAAGTATAGTAACAGGGCAAAATATTTCTTTAAACTATGGAAATAAAGTCCCCTTAATATTATCTCAAAATATCTGTTTGGAAGGTTAGTGAAGATTCTGCTACTGGTCTTTCAAATAGCAGCATGTAGAGCCCTGTGCAGGGTAAAATATTTGGAGAGCAAATTTTAGAAGGAAAAAATTTCATAGAAATAATAGTTGGAAGGAAAAAACCTCCCCTTGGCATAATGGCCTTCATGAAGCTGTGTGTGGGGCAGTGGAAGTGTTGGTGGTGGTGCTATTGGATGGAACTGTAGTAGGTGACAAGCAGGTGTGGGTTGGGGGCTGTCGTGGATGTTGGTGCTGTCTGGGCCCTGCCTGCCAGTGTCTCATGTGGAGGGACACCATTCACACAGTGCGATTCCAAGATTTGCTATTGGTTATTTATTATGATAAATTTCTGGGATAAAGAAGCCATGTAACTTCATATGACAAAATCAGTAATTCACAGCAATTTTCCAACAGATGGATATAAAGTAGAATTAGGGTGCCTTTTTCCAATTTTTCATGAAGGGCCATATGGGCTAGTGATGGCATGGGTTTATACTGATACGATAATTTACCAATCCAAGGGAGCAGGAATGGCAGAAATAATTTATGTGCGTCCTAAAGGAGAGGAGGATTGAGGCTTTACTTAGGGCAGGAGGTATAAACCTGGATGCCTACAGGGCTCAGGAGAGAGAGGGGCGCAGGCCAGGTTGTGTGCTGTGTTGACACTGCTCCTGGAGAACTTATCTTCATTCACATGGAGAAATAAAACCTTTCTGCAGGGGAAGCTGCTGCTTGTCTCTCACTGGTTTTGGCCCTATGGATATATAGTCTCAGAGTTGTCTTCCAGTTTTTCAAGAGGAATTAATAATTTGGAATTGTATGTGAAATCTTGTATGTGAAATTTTGGAGAAATGACTTCGTTTTGTAATGCAACATGTTAGCCAAAGAAACCACATGCCTGGATTAATTCTGGTTGAGCTGAGCCAGCATTTGTAACCTTTAAAGAGCAGATGGCAGAGTTCTTGGGAAGGAAGAGTAGGGGTGACATTTTAACTACATAGGTCACAAGACTGGCATTTTGCAAGAAATTGATCAATACTTATTGAATGAACAAATATCTGAATACATCCCACTAAAAGTCATTAAAGTTTTGACTTTATTGGTTAACATGCATTCTCAAAAATGGTGGAGGAAGCTACAAGGGGAACACATATTCCATACTGAGTTGCAGTGTCAGAGACAATAACCCCACCGCTACGGAGGTCTCAGTCAGCAAGAAAGAAAATGCCAGGTCAATCAGACACGTACTATGGCTTTTAGGAAAACTGGCCTCCACATTTCTAGAAAAGGCAGGGTCTAGATCCTCTGAAGGAATTTGATTTAAGGTTCTGGAAGAATAAATTCCAACTATTTACTGACATGTGATGATACTCAGAAAGAAAAATGGGGTGATATCTAACAAAACCAATTTAGGTGGTGTCCACCAAGCTCACATTTTGAAAGGGGAAGTACAAATGCTGAAGAAATGACAAGTAACCAAGGATAAGTAGGAAGAAAGATGGGAAGCTGTAAAAATGTTTTCATAGAGCAGAAGAAAGGAATGAGCTACAGTTTATGTTGTTTACAGCATGAAAGAATGAAGGGATGGATACATAAATGAAATGATGAAGCGGGCATATTTTATTGTCCTGTGTACTTTTCTGAGACCTGAAAGGAAAGTTAAACCCACTGTTTAGGATTGATGGTTGATATGGTTTGGCTCTGTGTCTCCACCCAAATCTCCTGTTAAATTGTAATTCCCATTGCTGGAGGAGGGGCCTGGTTGGGAGCGATTGAATTATGGCGGGGCACAGATCATCCTTGTGCTTCTTGTGATAGAATTCTCCTGGCATTTTTTTTTTTTTTTTAATAGAGATGGGGTTTCACCACGTTGGCCAGGCTGGCCTTGAATTCCAGACCTCAAGTGATCGGCCTGCCTTGGCCTCCCAAAGTGCTGGGATTACAGGTGTGAGCCAGTGTGCCCTGCCTAAAATTATTTCTAAAATCGTAATAGAGTGATGGAAAACCTGAAACGATATATCTGGGCATCAACACTGTGTCTTCTCTTGATGTGTTTGTAAGTGAAGGACCCCTGGGGTCTGTATTGCAGTCACTCACCTGCCTCCCACCCACTCAGTGGCTTTAGGTGGGCTGTTGAATGCCTCCACAACACGAGTTCCTGATGTGTCAAGTGGGATCAACACCCTTGCTTAGGCTGTGAAGGTGAGTGTGTCAGTGAAGCAGCTGGCACTTTCACACATGCACCTTCTTCATAGCCTTTCATAGGACAGCAGAGTAACAGGGGGATTTGTAACTTCCAGAACTTCACTTAAATACAATGGCACAGTTGAAGTAGAAGGAAATCTCTAGTGGCATGTGAAAGCACTACCTGTTTAGTTTCTTTTTGTTTCAGACATTTTCCATCTGCTTGTACAAAACACAGAAGGAATGCATAGCAGACTTGGTTCTGAGCTTGCAGGAACAACGGATGCCCTGAGTGACAGACTCAATATCTAGAATTCAGTTTCAGCCTTTATAGTTGGAATTATGCGCTGAACCAACAGGAGGATATATAACAGAAACAAAGGTGAAGCTGTTTGCTTTCTTTTATAAAAAGCTACTGCACAAATACCAGATAGAATAAAATTTTTTATTGCTCAGAACTTATGTACATGTATAAAGAAGGTCCCCTTTCCACAGCCCATTTGGGCCTGGAGTCTGCAGTTTCAGAAGATACCACCATACTATGCCGCTTCCCAAGACAGCACCAAGAAAAAATGCAGAGACCCCACATCACATCAGCAATGTGCTTATAAACCATGGAAAAGAGCATAATTATAGAGGCACATGATAAGCACTGGAAATATGAGAAGAGACATCTTTTTCAAAAGACCTGACTTGCTCTTTAGGACACCAGAGGACAGAACTTGGATTGATAGATGAAAGGTATAGAGGACCAGATTTCTTTCCTGAGGGGAACTTTCTAAGACGTAGAGCTATTCATTGATAGGATGGACTGCCTTGTAAGATGGCAAAGTTCTTGCTGTTGGAAAGCCTTAAGAAGAAATCGGATGTTGACTTGCTGTGATGTTGTAGATTGGATACCGTTTCTGATAGGCCGACAAGATGATCCCTCAGTGTTTTCCAACTTTTGTTTTCTCTGATCCAGGTTAGTTTACCTCCATTATCTTGGCTATATTGACATAGATTTCCAAGTACTTAAATTACCTTTCTGTGGTTTTACAGGATTTATTTTATTCTACCAAAACATATATAAAATGTACAAAATTATTGAGTTTTTTTATTTTTTTATTTTTTGGCTTCCTTTGAAATTTAGAGATCCTGTTACTCTAGAATTCTTTCTAGAGTAGGGCTTCGAGCAAAAGTTTGTTCTTAGTTCCCCTTTATATTCCTCTCAAAAATAAACAAAGGAACAGTACATGAAGATAAATTTCATGCATAAAATTAATGTACTGCAAATGCTGAAAATCTCCTTGACAGAGAAAAACCATCACCAAGGCCAGACCTGATGCTCAGGAGGTAGGAACTTGCTTACGGAGTCCCTTCCAACCCGGTACTGCTGCAACGGTTGTTAAACATTTTTGACATCTCTCCTTAGGACCCTGTAGTGCTAAAAGGAGCCATCGATATGGAAGGCTTTGGAGCTGGAGAGTGAGGCTCTCTGTGCGTATATGCCCACTGGCTATCGGAGCTACCACCTTCCACGTCCACTGCTTTTGAGGGTCCAGACCTTGGCTCAAGGACTGCTGGGTCCCCCGTGCTGCACCCGCTCTTCCGTCCTCATTTTCACTCACACACTGCATTTATATGGCTGGAGCTGTTCTACCCTTAAGAAAATCAAACCCATGATGTTGGATTATGTCTGTGCAATTATTTAGTTATTTTGTCTACAATAAAAGAGTTAGCCATTATATTTAGGAAGTTAAAAACTGGCAGATTTTATAGAAGTACCCGAACACATACAGATACGCACTTATATATATAAATGAGGGAATGCCATTTTACCAAATATTGGCATTTTGGTTCAGGACCTTAATATTCTTGGTCCTAACACCTGGAGGCAATGTGATTTGTTGTGTTTAGAACATGGAATGAACTAGAGAAGAAGAGAAACTCCAGCCATGTAGCAGGGGCCCTAGCACCACCTGGTACCACCCCCCTGCTCTCTGGCCCAGGAACCGGGCATGACCATTGGCTGCCTTCTGTGCTTGGAGGCACACCTACCTTGGCAGCCGCTCGCTCCTCCTCCATCCAGTCCATTCTCCTCATCCCTGGAGCCTGTTTTAATTGTTCCTTCTTCTCTGAAGCTTCACCAAGGCTTGGTTCCTCTTTCCAGGAGGAGCTGAGGGCTTTAATATCAGAGCTGCCATTTCTTCCTTTATTCGTTTGTCCTGCTGCTAGCTCAGCACTTATAAGATACGTCTGCACGGCCCTTTATTTACCGGTCTCTTTTCTCCCGTAGATAGGGAGACCTTTGAAGGAAGGAGCTGTTTCTTATTCACCCATCTTTGTAAGTTCTAATACACATTCGTTGTTCAGTAAATGCTTTTGAATTACTGTGAAGGAAAGGCAGAAATGACTGTGTTCACAGAACAAGCAGGGCTTCTCACGTGTGCTTGTTTTGCTGTTTTTTGTTTGTTCGTTTTTTTGAGACGGAATCTCACTCTGTTGCCAGGCTGCAGTGCAGTGGTGCGATCTCGGCTCGCTGCAGCCTCTGTCTCCTGTCTCCTGGGTTCAAGTGATTCTCCTGCCTCAGCCTCCTGAGTAGCTAGGACTACAGGTGTGCACCACCATGCCCATTAACTTTTTGTATTTTTAGTAGAGACGGGGTATCACCATGTTGGCCAGGATGGTCTTGATCTCTTGACTTTGTGACCCGCCTGCCTTGGCCTCTCAAAATGCTGGGATTCCACGCGTCAGCCACCGCACCCGACCTAGTGGTGCTGTTTGAGGAACAATTTCTTTTTTCACGTGGGAACGTTGAGGGCCTTGCAGTGTGGCCAGCGTCGCTTGCCCTGCCCACGTAAATGCCCATGCCCATCTTGGATCTCCGTCTGTGATCCAAGCCCGCAGACCTGTTTGTAGACCATTGAGAAACGCTGGGGAAGACTCTGGTGATTCTCTCAGACAGAGCTCCATTATGCTTCTTCGTGTTCCCTTGGCCCATCCACCCAGTAGAAAGATAAGACCTTGGAGACCATGAGCTTCTCCTTGACAGGAAACACTTCCAAAAATCATAACGGTCTGATCTCCGAAAAAAACTTTCCATTCATGTTATGCACGCTCAGAGATGACCAAAACCTAACATTGAAACTGTAGAGAAAACCATTGTCAAGGACCTAACATTTTCAAAACCTAACATTGAAAACTGTAGAGAAGACCATTGTCAAGGACCTAACATTTTCAAAACCTAACATTGAAACTGTAGAGAAAACCATTGTCAAGGACCTAACATTTTCAAAACCTAACATTGAAACTGTAGAGAAAACCGTCGTCAAGGACCTCACATTTTCAAAACCTAACATTGAAACTGTAGAGAAGACCATTGTCAAGGACCTCACATTTTTTAAGAAATGAATTTTCAGTAAATCTTCTTTCTTGGATTTTGTGAAGTCCAAAGAAAATCAGATTGCTCATGTCTTTTTTCAAAAAACAAAAATAAAAAATAAAACACAACAAAACTTTCCATCATAAGCAAAAAAGAACTTATGCTGCAGGATTAAGTGATTGACACGATAAGTAATACTGAGTGGATGGAAAATCACCGTAGTCACAATATAACTCACACCTCATATATTTTTCTCTCCTGATCAATATTCAGCATAGAAATGGCACTCATTTTCCATGTTCAGAGAGAAGAAAAGGAAGAAAACGAAAGCATATGAAGGTTAGATTGGAAGGGCGGTATTTCCTGTTAGATGAGCATTGTTTAAATCCTGGAGTTTGTTAGGTCATAAAATAATAGAATGCTTTAAACATGGAAATATTATTCATAGCAGATAAATAGTATTGAAAAGAATGCAAGGAAAAGAATCTGTGATAATAGGGTAGAGTTAGAGAAAAATTTTGATGTAAATTATTCTTTAAAAAAATGTAGGAATTGTGTAGTCACATGATTTTAAACCATAACTCCTCTCTTTACTTAGGATGATATTCATTGTCAGTTGTTGTTTTCATAAACCCCAAGCAAGTCAGTACATTGATTCATTGCATATTGCATAGAAAACTATTTAAATCTATGCTAGTGTTATTTTCTTCCTAAGTTCAGTAAATTAGTGTTGTGACAGATATGTGGCACTGTAGCTTTTTCAATTCTGAGATTGGTTTTTAATCTATGATGCAAACCTTGGGCAGTTCAGGGGAGTATCATTGATTTATGAATCTCTTCTGCCTCAGTGTTTAACAAAGCTTGTTTGATTTTAATGGGCAAAAAGAAAACTCTTCTTAAGTAAGATGTTTCTAATCTCTTGAAGTATTAGTACCAGAGACCCCAGGCAAAAGCAATTCTCAAAAGCTCTCTAGGAGGTAGTTTTATATGAGATTATAGCACATCTAATATTGTGCAAATATTAAAGAGGTTTAAAACTCTTAAATTCATTGATTTTTTTTCATCCTAAGGCAAATGATAAAAGTGCAAACATACTGCTTTAGGATAAGCCTGTGGGTAAATGTATCATGCAAAATATTTACATTAAAATGCTGCATGACTTAATTTTGCCTGACTTATAATCCCTGGGAACGCTGAATATCATTTCTTCAAAAATTCTTTCTACTTTATGATTCGTGTATTTAATTTGTCTTCTAACATAACTATTATTTTTGTCTTAATTTGTTGTAACTTCAACAATAGAGGACATCAAAGGATGCAAGCTTCCTTTTGCTTCTAAGCTTCGTCTCCTCCCTACTCAGCATTCATTCAGAGGATTAGAATGTGAATGTTAGGATTTTACAAGTTATTCATCCTGCAGTAAAGGAATTTGGACTCCTTCTATGAGCGGCCTCTGATTTGCTGGCTTATGTTTTACTGAGCTCTGATTGGCTATTATGTGTGCCGTCACCATTAGACATGACCACGGATGTTTGCAAAGATCTCCATTGCTTTACAGTCTCTAAGAATAAGGTTTTCAACAAATTTATAAAATGTATACAATTTGTTTGACTTACTCTTTTTCAAATATGACTCTTTACCTAAAGAAAATAATATTTTAAACTGTTACAAAGTCACTTCTAAAGGGCATAAAACTTGCAAAATAATAACTTGTAAGTTGGCAATAATGATGCTAATAATTTCCCCTAAATAGACATATGTACGTTAAAAATATCTACTAACATGTATGTTGTGTAAAATGAATGTGAAATTCAGGAAGCTTGTTGGGCTGAGCTTTCGGGGAAGCTGCAGGACTGTGCTGCAGACTTAGTTTGTAGGTCTCACCAGTAGCATTCCACTGTCCTGCTGGATTACAGACTGGGCTTCCCCATCTTGTTGTGGTAGAGCCTCTGTAGACCCTGGGAACATAGAAAAGAGATGTCTGAGGCAGCGTTCCCAATCCTTTGAGGTTAGGTCACTAGTGAGCCATTGACATTTTTATAGTAAATTGAGGCTGTTTCCGTCGAGATGAGTTGAAAAATGGTACAAAGAGTTTTAAATTTTACCCAAGACTAAGAAAAGAAGTGCAGAGGAAACGAGGATAGTCAATAGCACAGAGCTCTTAAGAAAGCATTTGGCAACCCTAAATCCCAGAATCGATAACTTGTGTTAACCAGCCAAATGGAGTGTTACAGAAGAAAAGCTGTTTGTCTGGCTCTCTTTACATTCAAAGAGCTTAAATTGAGAGCCTGAAGTCTTCCAGGAGCTGTGGCATGAGGGCTCTAGCACTAATAAAGTTGTTGAAAACATTTCCTTCTGAAATCAGTCATTTAATTTTAAAATAATGTTATTACTTGTGTATTTATGGATTTTTTTTTCCAAATTAAAATATCCTCGTTCTGCTTAGTTCTTAATGCCAGTTTTTTTAAATTAAATTACTGGGAAATCACCCAGTGGATTAAAGCAACAGTAGTAATTTTGTTTTGTTTTGTTTTGTTTTACATCAGATGCAAAAGTTGAATTAGTCATACTCACTAGTTTAGGACACAATATTGCCATTGGTTCATGTGAGACATTTTTGTCATTTTATTTTTATTTTTATTCTTCCCCTTCATGCCGATACACATTCCAGTACATATACATGTACACATATACACTTACACATAGATACGTACACATATACACACATATTTGTCATTGTGAAATAGAGGCCATTTTAATTGTATATAAGGATCAATATTTTTACTATTTTATATATACTAGAGTTTATAGTGTGTGTGCAAGTTGTGAAGCAGAATTATGAACTGAGCACCTGTGGACCCCCTGCGCACCTGTGGACCCCCTGTGCCAGTGCTTAGCAAAGCATTACTGATACTGTTCAAGATTTCCAGTATCTCCTTGTCTACCTGTATTCTAATGCATTTACTTTACCCCTACAAATAATTTTGGGTTAATTTGGGTTTCTTTTCATGTGGATTTATTGAGGCATAATCAACATACAATAAACTGCATGTATCTGGCATATAAATGTTTGTGAATTTTAGTGTCTTTGTATACCTCAGTACCATCACCACAGTAACGACAGTAAACACAGAAATTCCCCAAGAAGTTCTCTGTGCTGCTTTGCGGCACCTTCCCCACTCTTTCCCAGCCTCAAGAAGCTGCTAATCTGCTTCCTGCCACTCTAGATTAGTTTGCATTGTCTATAATGTACTTACATGGAATAATATAGAATGCACTCCTTACTCTGGCCTGTTTTATTAAACATAATTATTTTAAAATTTTTTCATGTTGCTGGTATATTTAATGTGATAAAAACAAATGATCAGGTAAGTGGGTAAACACTGTGGTAAATCTACACACTAGAAAGTTGCACACCTGTATACAGGTGTGTAGACTTACCACAGTATTTGCCCATTTACCTGTTGATTGACATTTGTTTTTATCACATTTTTGGCTATTGCACTGTTATAAATAAAGTTACTCTGAATATTGTGTACTAATTATTGAATAGACATATGCTTTCATTTCTAGGAGTAGAATAGCTTAGTCATATGATCAGCTTATGTCTCAATTGTAAAAATCACCAAAATCTTTTCCAAACTGATTACCATTTTATGTTCCCAGAAGCGGTGCATGGGAGTTTCAGTTATTCCCAACCTTCACCAGTATTTGGTATGATTAGCCTTTTTAATTTTAGACATTCTGATAGGTTTGTAGTAGTATCTCATTGTGGTTTTATTTTGCGTTTCCCTAATGACTAAAAATGTTGCACATCTTTTCATGCTTATTTGCCACTCAAGTATTTTCTTTGATGAAGTGTTTGTTTAAATCTTTTTCTTAGTATTTTCAATATGATTGTTTGCTTTCTTACTGAGTTTGAAAATTTTTATATATATCCTAGATACAAGAATATATCATATATCAAATATGTGATTTGCAAGATATTCTCTCAATATTTGGCTTTTTAAAAAAATCTTTAAATTTGAAGTCTTTAATTTTTTTTATTTTGACAGTCAAAATAAATGAAGTCTTTTATAGATTTTTATAGATTTTTGTATTATTATCTAAGAAATTCTTGTCTAAGCAAAGATTATAAAGATTTTCTCTTATGTTTTTTTCTATAAGTGGTTTTTCAAATTTTCAGTTTTAGATTTTACATTTATTGGTGAGATCCATTTCAAGTTCATTTTTTTTTTATTATACTTTAAGTTTTAGGGTACATGTGCACATTGTGCAGGTTAGTTACATATGTATATGTATACATGTGCCATGCTGGTGTGCTGCACCCACTAACTCGTCATCTAGCATTAGGTATATCTCCCAGTGCTATCCCTCCCCCCTCCCCCCACCCCACAACAGTCCCCAGAGTGTGATATTCCCCTGCCTGTGTCCATGTGATCTCATTGTTCAATTCCCACCTATGAGTGAGAATATGCGGTGTTTGGTTTTTCATTCTTGTGATAGTTTACTGAGAATGATGATTTCCAATTTCATCCATGTCCCTACAAAGGACATGAACTCATCATTTTTTATGGCTGCATAGTATTCCATGGTATATATGTGTCACATTTTCTTAATCCAGTCTATCATTGTTGGACATTTGGGTTGGTTCCAAGTCTTTGCTATTGTGAATCAAGTTCATTTTTATATATGGTGCAAGAGATGCAAGATATAGACCATAGTTCATATTTTTATAATGGATAGTCAATTGTTCTAGAACCATTTGTTTAAAAGACCGTCCTTTATCAATTAAATTGCCTTTGATACTTGGTCAAAAGCTCAATGGTCAACATATTTTTGAATTTACCCTCATTTTGTTCCATTGATATATTTATTTATCTTGATGTCAATTCCACATTGTCTTGATTTCTGTAGCTTTACAATGAGACCCGAAGTCAGATGGTGTTAGTCTTTTAATTTTGTACTACATTTTCAAAATGTTTTTGCCTGTTTCAGGTTCTCTGCATTGTCACATGAATCTTAGAATTAGCTTGTCAGTTTCTATCACCATCTTCTAAGATTTTGATTGACAATCTGTAGATTACTTTGGGGAATAATGACATTTTAATAATGTTACGTCTTCCAATTCCAGAGCAAATACTGCTCCATTTATTTAGGTCTTTCTTCTTTAATATCACTCAGCAATGTTTTATACTTTTCAGTGTACAATTCACACAAACTGTTTGTAAATTTATTTTTGCGTATTTTATATGTTGATCTATTGTAAATGGTGTTTCTTAATTCCAATTTTAGATATTTTGTATATTGACTTTATAACCGAGATAATTGTTAAGTTTACTTATTAGTTTTAATGACATTTTTTAGATTCTATAGAAATTTCTATGGAGGCAATCAAGTCATTTGAGAATAGGAATTTTCTAATTTTTTTCTAATCTTATGCATTTTATTTTTCTTGACTTATTGCACTGGCTATCAGCTCCAGTATAATGTTGAGTGGAAGTTGTAAGACTTAACATTAAGGCCTCAATCTCAGAGGGAAAGTAGACAATCTTTCATCATTAAATGTAATGTTAACTGTAGATTTTCATAGATGATCTTTATCAGGTTGAGAAAGTTCTCTATTTTTCCTAATTTGCTGTGGGACTGTATAAGACAGACTTCAGATTTTTGTCAGATGCTTTTATTTTAAACCTTATGAGAGTATTATATTTCTCTTTTTCACTCTCTTACCATGGTAAATTATGTTTGATTTTCAAAGGTTAAATCAAACTTGCATTCTTGGGTGAAACCCCATTCAGTCACAATGTATCGTTATTTGACATATTGTTGAATTCTATTTGTTAACATTTCTGTGTTCTTAAGGAATATTCATTTTCGGTTTTCTTTTCTCACAATATCTTTGTCTTGTTTTTGTATCAAAGTAATAATGGCTGAAAAAAAATAAATTGGAAGTATTGCCTTGTCTTCACTTTTCTCAAGCATTTGTGTAGAATTGCTTCTTTTTCTTTCTTAAATGTTTGATAGACTTCATTAGTGAAGACATCTGGGCCTAAAAGTTTTCTTCGTTTGAGGTTTTTTAATGCAGTATCAGTTTCTTCAATAGACATAAGTCTATTCAAGTTTTCTTTTCTCTCTGGCTTGAAATTTAGTAGGTCCTTGTGTTTAGCCTTTACAGGAATTGTAAAATTTCATCTAAGTTGCCAAATTTATAGGTAGAAAATTGCTCAGAATATTCTCTTATCCTTGTGGTATCTCTACAATGTGTAGTGTTGTCACTTCTCTTGTTTCTGACATTGGTAATTTGTATCCTTTCTCTTTATTTCCTGATCAGCCTGACAAGACAGTATAATTTTTATTGATCAACAAAAAGAACAAAGTTGTGGTTTCATGGTCTTTTTCCTATTGTTCTGTTTTCTCAACCAGTGATTTTTCACCTTGATCGTTATTGTTTTCTTTTTTCTTCTTGCTTTGCTTTTCATTTGCTCTTCATTTTTTGTTTGTGAAGGTGGAATGTGAAGACAATTGGAAACTTTTTTCTGTTTAGTCCCAAAAAATTTTCTTTGCATATTGCTTTAGCTGCATCCCCTAAATTTTGTTATGTTATGTCTTCATTTTCATTCACTTTTGAATTTTATTAATTTCCATTTTCATTTCTTCTTTTACCCAAGGCTTGTTTAGAAATGCATTTTCATTTTTTCAATATTTCATAATAAACTTTCATTTCTTTTGGGTAATACCTAAGAGTGGAATGGCTAGACCATATGAGGTATATGATTAGCCTTTCATGAAAATGCAAAACTGTTTTTGTAGTGGTTATATAATTTTAAATTCCCAATTAGCAGCACAATATCCTGGCCAATTCTTGAAATAGTCTTTTTATTTTTAACAATTCTAATAGGTGTGTAGTGGTGTCTTAATGGTTTTAATTTGCACATTCTTAATGGTTAATGATGTTGCACATGTTTTCATTTACCTATTTGCTTTTCATATATTTTTTTTTTTGGTGAAGTATCTTGAAATTTTGTGGGGTTTTTTTTTTTTTTGGTTTTTTTTGCTTGTTTGATCTTAAAATGCTTGGTTTTTTTTTTTTTTTTTTTTTTGGCTTTTTGTATTTCTATTACAGTTTTAAAATTCCACTACTGGGTATCTACCCAAAGGAAAAATCATTACATCAAGAAGATACCTGCACTTTGTGTTTATTGCAGCACTGTTCATAATAGCAAAGATATGGAATCAACCTAAGTGTCCATCAATGAATGATTGGATAAAGAAACTGGCAGATATACACAATAAAATTATATTTAACCATAGAAAACATGGAATCATGTACTTTGCAGCAACATGAATGGAACGGGAGGCCATTATCTTAAGTGAAACAAGTCAGATAGAGAAAGACAAATAGCTCATTTTTTCACTTATAAGTAAGAGCTAAAGAATGTGTACACATGGACATGGAGTGTGCAGTCATAGACAATGGACTTGGCAGGGTAAGTGGGTGGAAGTAGGATGAATGATGAGAAGTTACCTAATGAGTACAATGTATATTATATATATTATTCAGTTATGCCAAAGGCATACCTAACTGACTACCTAATGTTGAGTGTTTACATTAGTTGAAAAATAAGCATGCTGATGAATTATTTACAATGAATTTTTGTGTATTTGTGTATGTATTATGTATTTACAATGCAATATCTTGCAATTTGTCTCTCTTAATTTCCTCTAATTTATATTAGGCAAATGTTAGTATATTAGTGATTGGAATTGGATGCTAAAGAGCAAACTGTGTAAGCATCCCAAGCCTATTTTCATTTGAAATAATGTATTTTCCTTATTGGTTTGTTAGGACAATTTAATGAGATAATGAATGTTACGCACTTGTATTGTGCCTAACACACAATAAGCCCTTATTGGGGAAAATTTTAAGTGAGTTAATAATTTGTTGTTGTGTAAGTAACCACATCAGAACTTAGAGCATTAAAACAGCTATTATAGTTTGCACATGGTTTTGTGGGTCAACAATTTAGGCTGGTTGAGTGGTTCATCTTTAATCAACTGCAGCAACGGACGATGAAGAGAACACTTCCAAAGGGCCTAATTCATTCTTATTTTCCACAACAGTAGTTCTCAACTTTCTTTGTGTATTAATATTACAGATGCTTGGGCTCCTCCACCCCCAAAGATTCTGATCTTTGATGAAGAGAAGTACCACACATTTATATTATTTTAAAAGCTCCCTAGACAATTCTAATGTACAGCAGAACCAATTTACTAGTTTACTTTATTTTTCCTTTTAAAACAAATATGTTTGTTTCTTATTTCGTAATTACACACTATTATAAAAAAATCAATTTGTGACTTAATCAGGAAATATTTCTTGAGTGCCAAGGATGAAGACTGTGTAAAGAATAAAACAAAGCTTACTTATGAAACACACTTAAAAATAACCACCTTAAACATTTTGGTGTATTACCTACCAGTCTTCCTACTTTTATAACTTAGTGTTCTTTTGTGACAAGTGCTTCGTAATACACTTAACCGTTTATTCTATATTTGGATTTTTAAGTTTCTTTTTCAGTATTTAAGTACTAAATGTAGCATGCTGATCAATGGCATTGAAAAGTCACCTGTTTGTGTTTTTTCAATTCGTTTTTGCTTTCACAAATGTTATATCTTTGGCCTGCCTGGATTGATGCTATGTTTATAAAATGTAACTTTCAAATCTTCATAATCACGCCAATAAGCTCAGTAAAAGACACTCAACATCACTAATTATTAGGGAAATGCTGGTCAAAACCACAGTGAAGTACCACATCCATTAGGATAACTATTATCAAAACAACAAAAAAGGAAGTAAAAAGTTCAACAGGGATGTAGAGAAATAGAAATTCTTGTACTTTGCTGGTGCAACCGCTGTGGAAATCAGTATGGTGGTTCCACACAACTGAAATATAGATGATCACCCAGCAATTTCATTTCTAGGTATATACCCCCAAAACCTGAAGGCAGGGACTTGAACAGATATCTGTACATCACTGTTCATAGCAGTATAATTCATAGTAGCTAAATGTCCATCAATGAATAAGTGGATAAATAAAATGTGGTATGTATGTATATAACATGGAGGCCCTTTGTTGGCTTCACATCTATTTGGCTTACTTTTTGCTGCTGTAGGCATTTTTCATATTCTGATATTATTATTCACCGTTAAAAAGGAATAAAATTTTGATACATGCTATGACATGGAAGAACTCGGAAAATATTCGAAGTGAAATAAGCAGTCACACAGAAATATCGTATGATTCCACTTTTATGAGATACTCAAGTAGTCAAATTCCTAGAGACAGAAAATAGAATAGCAGTTACCAGGGCCTGGAGAGGGGTAGGAATCAGGAAGTGAGTGTTTAATGGGTATGGAGTTTTAGTTTGGGAAAATTAAAAATTTCTGGAGTTGGATGGTGGTGTTGGTTGGACAACAATGTGAATATGCTTAATGTAGCTGAACTGTGCAACTACAAATGACTAAAAAGGTAGATTATATATATATTTTACCATGTTAAAAAAACTTCAGAACCAATACCTGTATCTATATTCAATTACTGAACTGAATGTAGCCAGCCACCTCACTTCTCCCTATTACATGTCTGTCTGTCCTTCCCAGGATATACATTTACTTGAGACAGGGAAATAGGTGAATGGGATGTATCTCGACCATCCTTTGCCTTCTTTTCAATGCTCTACCCTCAGGAGCCATCACATGTCAAAGTTGAAATAGGACACTATCCTTCAGGCAGACTACTTTCAGTGATTGTGCTCTTTGTAGAGAGAATCCCCACGTTTCTCCCCAATCGAGTGAGTGTGTGAGTTTCTGATACATCTGTTCCCAAGACATAGGGAAAACAAACACAGTACAAACTTAATTTCTACTAGCATACCTCATTACCTGTATTAGTGTGTTTTCATGCTGCTAATAAAGACTTACCCAAGACTGGGTAATTTATAAAGCAAAGAGGTTTAATTGACTCACACCTCCACATGCCTGGAGAGGCCTCACAATTATGGCAGAAGGCAAGGAGGAGCAAGGCCAGGTCTTACATGGAGACAGGCAGGAGAGCTTGTGCAGGGGAACTCACATTTATAAAACAGTCGTATCTCTTGAGACTTATTCACTACCATGGGAACAGTATCGGGGAAAGTGCCCCCATGATTCAATTATGTCCAGCTGGCCCTGCCCTTGATGTGAGAGGATTATTACAATTCAAGGTGAGATTTGGATGGGGACACAGCCAAACCATATCATTACCTATATATGAAATATGGAAGAAGTAAATGGTTGAGGCTTTATTGGTAAATGATATGCTTTAATGTTTGAATGAAATGACATAAATTTAGAGAATATATGTGAATAAGCCTACTCTCCCCGTTGAGTAGATGCTCAAATAATCAGTTTTACTTGAATCTTAACTGTTTAAGTCCAGGTTCAATTCCCTCTTTTTTTTACTGCAATGAAATTTTGAGCACCCCTATCAAAAGTGATATGGATTCTTTGAATTTCTATAATCTTTACTGTTTTTTATACTAATGCAGCTTTTACATAAAAGCACAGGCAATATATGCCAACTTTTCATATAAATATGTCTTATTTCATTAACTATACTGAGATCCTTTTAAAGAAAGGAATGAGGTCGTATTCATGTTTTTTTTCCCCTTTTGCACTCTCTTTGTAACTCTTTAAATACCCCAGAATTGGCGCTTAATAGTGCTCATGTGTTTAAGGGAAATTATGACTTCAAGCCTAATTAGCATAAAACAAAAGGAAAAGGCCCCAATTTCTAGAGCCAATAAGTCTAGAACTGTGAATATGTATTGAATCCTTTTGGTTTATTTAAAATTTTTGGCTGTTTGTCGGTGGAATGTGTGCATGAAAGAAAGAACAGTGTTAGCAATGATAAACTTAGCTTATAAAAAGTCATAAATTATGGTTTTCTCTATTATAGACTGTGAATCTCACCTATGCTTAAATTGGTCTTATTTCTAGGAAGATGTCATTTTTACCAGAATGTTCAGTTTAGGGAGATATTCAGCTGAAGCAGTGAGTAGGGGCAAAGCCAACTTCATAAGCCTGGTTGTGGCTCAATCAACCCTGTTGGCCAGTGACATGAGGTATCATGACTGGGACTCTATCACATCCGGCTGTGGAATGTAACTTAAAAAACTAGCAGCCTACCAAAAATTCTTATGGAGTTTTGCTTTCCCATTTTTCATGGTCCTATACATCTTGTATGCCTAAGTCACGCACATTTTTCCTGGCCACTGCTCCTCTTGATTTCCCCAGCTCCTATCCCTTTTGCAGAACTGTCCAGCCTTGGAATACTTCTATCACCAGGACATCATAGAACCTGACCCATGCCCTTCCAGGGCCATCTCCAGCATTAGCCCATTGTCTGCTGTCTGGTGTGCCCTCTTTGTTAGCTGCCTGATGGCCAGATTTACTGCAGCATCCTTTCTAGCTCTGAAGACCTTACAGCATCCAAAATGAAATAGGTTGAGTAGATGCGAAGTCAGATTCTGAGGAATTATTGAAAAGTAAGATACTTTCTTGGTCTTGTGACATTTCTAAGTAAATAGATTTGGACTAAATGATCTTTTTCTGGCTGTATAATTTTATGAAATGAATGGATGGAGTGGAAAATGACAGTTGGCATCTGCAGTTTTATCCTGCCCCTTCTATTTTTAAGCCATTTCCAAAAAAGACTTATGTCTTCTAATTTTGCAGAAGTCAAACATCAAAATACGTTGGCTACCTTTTTTGTGGGTAGTGAATGCCCATGGAGAAGTAAATCTGGTATTAACATCTCCTGTTAATTAATCATTGCTATGTTGAAGGCTGCAAAATAGAGTTGCTAGATAAAACACAAGACAACCAGTTAAATTTGAATTGCAGATGAACAACAAATTTGAAATGCAAATTTCACTGAGTGCTTTGTATCCTAAGTTGCCTACCCTGGCAACCCTGCTTTTGAGGCAGTTGGTCATAGCTTGGTTATTAGTACTTTCCTACAGGCGGCCTTACAATAACTCCTTAAACTTTCTGAATCATTAGCACTTTTCACTGAATTAACCGAATAAAGCCATTGACTCATTAGGTGTTTCCTTGCCAAATTAAGCCACTTCAATAACTAGTTGCTTATATTGAAAAATTGTAATGCAGTTAGATCAATTACCACTTTTAGCACATAGGAAGTCGGTCGTTAGAGTTCATGGCTATAAGATGCAAACCATAACAACAGAGAACAATTATACACACTTCATTTGTTTGTTTTTAAGGAAGGAGAGGCATATAAGGAAGGAAAGGATTCTTTCTAAACAGATATAAAAATTTAACTTTTAAAGTCTGAAAAAACATTTAAAAAATATTATTGGATTCTGTTGATCAACCACCAAAATACTAATTTTGAAATATTACCACATGAAACCCTGGTGATCTACTGTGAAGACAGCACAAAGATCATTTCGAAAAACCAATTATATAAATATAGGATGCTGGGGACCTTCCTTGGCAGTAGTTCCTGTGAAACGCATACAGATTTTACTTGATCCCATGTTCAGTATAAGACAACAGTGTGGCAAGAGTAGAAAAATGTGCCTGTGACTTTCCCTGCATTAATCAAAGCATTGTCAGAGGAGGTATAGTCTGGAATAGTGCAAAGCTCTAAAGAAATATTTGTTGAATGAGTGAATGAACTGTTCGTTGGGTTGATAGTGAACATCTAAAATTCAGTGTCAGTTCTGGACATACCTTTACTTACTAGGGGTGTTAACACACTAATGTGACCACAAGAGGACAGTCAGGGGAGTAAGTTGCCTGGAGATGCCGTTCCCTGAGAGAACCTAGGGAGAATTCCTGGGAATGAGTCTTCCTGGGGATGTGCCCACGGTCTTTAGCTACTTAGGATCTTGCATGTGGAAATGTTAAGGCATCTGTTTAAATTACTCTAAAGGGCAAAATTAGAACAGTGGTCAGAAGTCACAATGAAGAATATCAAAAGGATAAACAATGTGGTCATTAACCAAGTATGAGTCACATTTATACCTCTGGATAATTTTAATATAATTGATGTGTTTTACTGCACCAGCTGGCCTCTATGTAGTCCAACCCATGTGGAGGTGGGGTGAAAAAGGCTGATGTTTAGAATCCTATTTCTATCACTTACTAGCTATGTGACCTTGTAAGACATTCTCTAAGCTTCCCTTTACTCAACCCAGAACATGGGATTACTAATCTCTGTCTGGCAGCATTCTTGGGGAGACCAGATTAATTCTGCATGGGAACTCTGTGTTGTGTAGTAGACACACCTCAGAGAGCAAGCGCTACATGGAAACCTTCTTTGTGTCTTGACTTGGGTGGTGGCGATATGACTGTTTGCTACCTGATGACTCATTGAGTTGTTTTGTGTACTTCTCTTTTTGTCAGTTGTGCCTAACAATGAAATGATTTTTAAAAGTTTCAAAAATTTAAAACAAACAATAGTATTTACACAGCAGTAAGATTTCTTTGCTAAAAATTTGATTTTACATACCCACGTTCACAGCAGCATTATTTATAATGGCCAAAAGGTGGAAACAATCCAGGTAATCATTGATGTGTGAATGGATAAACAAAAATCTGATGCAGCGGCTGGGCATGGTGGCTCACGCCTGTAATCCCAGCATTTTGGGAGGCTGGTGTGGGTGGATTACCTGAGGTCAGGGATTTGAGACCAGTCTAGCCAACATGATGAAACCCATCTCTACTAAAAATACAAAAATTAGCCGGGCATGATGGTACGCGCCTGTAATCCCAGCTACTTGGGAGGCTGAGACAGGAGAATTGCTTGAACCCGGGAGGTGGAGGTTGCAGTGAGCCAAGATCGCACCATTGGATTCCAGCCTGGGGAACAAGAGCAAAACTACATTTCAAAAAAATAAAAAAAAATTGATACAGTATATACATGCAACATGCAATAGAATATTATTCGGCCCTTGAAAACGCATGAAATCCTGACACATGCAGCAACAAAGACCTTGAGACATGATGCTAAGTGAAATAAGCCAGTTACAAAAAGAAAAATACTCTGTGAACTACCTAGAGTAGCCAAATTCATAGAGACTAGAAGGTAAAATGTTGGTTGCTAGGGACTGGGTTAAGGGGGAGATTGAGAGTTATTGTGTAATGCTTTAATGAGTATAGAGTTTCAGTTTTTTAAGATGAAATGGCTCTGGAGATTGGCTGCACAACTGTGGTCCTTAGCACTACTGAACTGTACACTTAGAGATGGGTAAGATGGCAAATTGTATGAAATGTGTACTTTACCACAATTTAAAAAATAATTTTACTTTTTACAGCAGAAAAAAATCATTTTCATTTGATTGCATGAATAATTCTTTCTTTGGCCTGAGAGCATAGGTCAATCAAGATTATTTTTAAGGTATATATGTGATATCATCTAGATTAAAGAAAATCCTTCAAATTATATTTTCTTCTGGCATCTAGTGTACATTTCTTTTAAAGATAATGTAGATGCTACAATATTTAAAATTACCTTCACTAGATACTCTTAACCTGAATGTTCTAAACTCCAGGAGTTCTAGAGATGTACTTCAAGGGAAATCCTTGAATCTTCTGAAATTTTATGCAAAATGCTGTGGCATGTGTGTGTGCACAGCTTTTCGAAAAGATAATCCATAGCTTTTATCCGATCCACAAAGGCTTTATGACCTCTACAAGATCAGGATCAAGAACCACTTATGTAAATGAACTTCCACAGAAGCCCATGAGATGCTTGCTTCGATGTCTGGGAATGTTAGAGGTGTGTGTTATCCCCTGTCATCCCACACATTTCTCCTAACGAGTAATTAATAATGGAATGCCATTAACTTGGCAGACACAGGTGTTGTATCGCCTGGGTCAGCCCTGTGCCCAGGGCTCTTCGTCAGTGACTGGGGTGATGGAGTAGAGTACATGGTCACCTTGCATGAGGATGTCGTAAAGTCAGATGGGGCAACAGAACCTAGCTGGGTAGGAATGGGATTCTAAATGCTCTTGACAGGTTGGAGAAATGAACAGAAGCCAGTTACAGTGAGGGCAGCAAGGACAAGAGAACAGTAAAAATCAGAAAGGAAACAAAGGCCAGCAAGTCTTATGGAAAGAACTGGTCAAGGAAAAGCCAAATGACAGTCCTAAGGCCATAAAATGAAACAGTGGCAGAGGGGTGGGATAAAGGTAAAATTCTTAAGATTGAACCTGCTCTGGCAGGGGAGCAATACTAAGAGAAAAGACCCATTTGTTATCTTAAATAATTGACATCTCCTCTGTTTCTTTATCTGCCAATGAGTTCCAAGCAGTTATTTACATGCCGCCTTCTGTTTGCGAAGCAAGATTTTTGTGTGCAAACACACACATATATGCATGGTGTATAAGTGTGTACGTGTATGCATGCACGTGTGTGTGATCAAGCGTCTTGGTTATGTGCTTTGTTGTCTGGGTATCTGAAACTTAAAAGGGATAGTTGTGGGGGATGTTGGAGATTTATTCAAGACAGAAAGACAGTGAAAAGAAAAAGAATATTGGAACATGAGGAATAATTGTCTCAAAGAATAGAAAATAAATGGAGAGAGATGTACTATGCCCTATGACCAGGCAGGAGAGAACAGACCCTCCCTTGGGAAGGCTTTCTCACCCTAAGCACTGAGCAGTCTTAAGAATATGACATAATAATTATTTATAGCCTGGCCAACACGGTGAAACCCTGTCTCTACTAAAAATACAAAAAATTAGCTGGGCATGGTGGTACGCACCTGTAGTCCCAGCTATTTGGGAGGCTGAGGCAGGAGAATCGCTTGAACCCAGGAGGTGGAGGTTGCAGTGAGCCAAGATTGTGCCACTGCACTCCTGCCTGGGCGACAGAGCGAGACTCTGTCTCAAAAAAAAAAAAAAAAAAAGGAAAAAAATTATTATTACTTAAACAAGTTGAGATTATGTGTCGTTAGAGTAACTTTTATTTTCACCTGTATAATAGATTTTACAGGGGAGAATAACTTAGCTATGTTTCTGATTTTCAGATTCCTCATGCTTTGATTAGACCCAGATCAGTGAAGTCATTGTGAGCTAATGATTATGAGTTGCCAGGTACAAACCATCTCCCAGGAAGCATCTTTCACAGCTATTTTTCTTTGCTACAACAAATATTTTAACAAATCTATTCTTATAGCAAGTGTTTTAAATCTCAAAGTTATAAATCAGCAATCTTTCAAACCACTATAACAAAACTTCAACTGTTACAGGAAAGTTAGTTGCCCTTGTTAGCAGAGACTATGACCTTGTTATTTCTTTCCAGTCAGGGCTTTGTTGGAAAAAGATAGCCTTTATGATTTTCTGTTTTCACTATTTCAGTTACCAAGTAAAAAGAACGCTATGGTCATCAGAAAACTTTCCTTACTGAATGATTGTAAATTTTCACTTAAATACTGAAAAGATGGTATACTTAATGTTATTAATAATTATGTAATAATATGGACACTAACAAAGTATTTGCTGTGGTTGTTTCAAATTTCATTGACCCTAAAGGTATGTCAGTTGTTTTGAATTCACTAGTTTTTAAAAATTGTACATAAAACCTTCATGTATCCAGTACTGTAAAGTCTCCCATTGCTGCTTTTTTTTATATATATATATTTTTATTATAATTTAAGTTCTAGGGTACATATGCACAATGTGCAGGTTTGTTACATATGTATACATGTGCCATGTTGGTGTGCTGCACCCATTAACTCATCATTTACATTAGGTATATCTCCTAATGCTATCCCTCCCCGCTCCCCCCACCCCACAATTACCATGAACGTGGGAACTTAAACAACAGAAATTTCTTCCTTTAGACTTCTGGAGGTCAGAATGCCCCAGGCAGAAAACAAGGTGTCGGCAGGGCTGTTGCTCCTGCAGGCTCCAGGGACCCATTTTCTTGCTGCAGGCCGCCTGCTTTCCTCAGCTCCTGACCCTGCATCTGGCATCCTCTGCTTCTGGCATCCTCTGCTTCCGTCACCATGGCACCTGCTAGGACTTCGGCCCTCTGGCTATGGTGGGGAACTGGCCTGGTAGAGGCAGGGCATCCAAGGAAGAAGCTATTATGGTATTACAGATGTTGAGAGGCCACCTGGCCTGGACATGAGACGGTGGATCAGACAGCTGCAGTTTTGGTTGACATGTGACATGAGGGAAGTATCCTAAGTTGGTGGCAAAAATTAAGATGGTTTGGTGGGACTTTAGCTCTTATCTTTCATTACTCTCTCTTTGTCTTCCCGTCTATATTCTCATACAGACTAGATAAAGAAAATGTGGTACATATACACCATTGAATACTATGCAGCCATAAAAAAGAATGAGATCATGTCCTTTGCAGGGACATGGATGGAGCTGGAAGCCATTATCCTTAGCAAACTAATTCAGGAAGGGAAAACCAAACACAGCATGTTCTTACATATAAGTGGGAGCTAAGTCATGAGAACACATGAATACATATAGGGAACAACACACACTGGGGCCTTCTGGAAGGCAGAGGATGAGAGGAAGGAGATTATCAAGAAAAATAACTAATAGATACTTGGCTTAATACCTGGGTGATGAAGTAATCTGTACAGCAAAACTCCATGACACAAGTTTACTTATGTAACTAACATGCACATCCTGCACATGTACCTTTGAGCTTAAAAGTTAAAAAAAATCTAATCTAACAATTACAATGTGATAATATTAAAAATAATTTCAACAGTACAACTTTTTCCATACAGCTTACGCACAGTGTAAGTAGAAAGATTTTTGCTGATCTGCAGTGCACAATCGAAATCAGCTCCATGTGCTTATTCGGCAAGACAGCTGAGATAAAGATCCCTTCACCACATCCAAGAAGGCAGCTGATCCTATCCCCCTGGATGTCAGATTCAGGAGCATCTTCTGGATAGAGTTGTGATTTTCTGGCTCACGCCTGTAATCCCAGCAGTTTGGGAGGCTGAGGCATGCAGATCACTTGAGGTCAGGAGTTCGAGAACAGCCTGACCAACATGGTAAAACCCCATCTCTACTAAAAATACAAAAATTAGTTGGCCATGGTGGCAGGCACCTGTGATCCCAGCTACTCGGGAGGCTGAGGCAGGAGAATCGCTTGAACCTGGGAGTCGTAGGTTGCAGTGAGCCAGCTGAGATCATGCCACTGCACTCCAGGCTGGGTGACAGAGTGAGACTCTGTTGTTGTGATTTGTTTTTGTGAGATTTTGAGTTGGGATTTGCTACAATCTCTGAGGAAAAGGGGTATCATTGTCACCTGCGTTTTAAGGTCAGTCATGTCTCTGAGGACAGCGGCTGACTTCTGAAGCCAGTCTCTGAGACACATAATGTAGTGCTTGATCTTTCAAGATACCTGACTAAATTACATTGTTTGTTTCCATTTTTTTATGTTTATTTCCTTGATTTCAATAAATTGAAATCAGAGTATTTGCATTAAAATATCTTAGTTGAATAACTATGCTAGGAAAAAAAAACCCAGAATATTATCATATGACTGATTAGGACCCACGGTTTTTCTCATGTACATAAGTAAAAAAGGTCAAGCAAGATGGGCTGCCCTGGCACCAGAAAATATAATCTGATAAAGGACCACTAGAAGATTCACTTGTCTTTCATGGGGCTTGGCTGTTTACAGTCAGTGTTTTCTTCTGAAGGAAGCTATTTTATCCCTACCCGTACAACAGATGGGTACTCTAGTATTTCATAAAAGATGACAGGAAAATTACATTACCACAAATGGCAAAAGTTGGGAGGTATGCAATAGGATAGTTTATTGGGAGAAAATAGACTAATATCAAAACAGAAAGAACAGAAGCAGAAATAATGAATTTGCCTGCATCAATCTCTTCTTTCATGACCTCATCATGCCGGAGATACCGATCAATTTCACTACAAGCAATAAATATTAAAATGAAATTCTTGAGTGTCTTATCTAAAGCTTCCTGACATCAATTGTTTTCCCAGTTTTTTCCCTGCAAGCATTGAATACCTCTTCATCAATCTTTTATTCCAACCCATTTTGTTCCAGTTTCTCTCTTCCCACAAAAAGTTTTTTTTCCCCTTCTATTTTTGACTTTTCTTTCTTAGCAGAGATGCATGAATATTATTTCTTTCTTAGCAGAGATGCATGAATATGCCACAGTGGCTGCATTTCATCGATCAGGAAATAAAACGTGGATTTGAAAGGTGTTTCCTGACCCTGAGGGGCTACAAACAACTGAGACATGTGTAGTGATCCCTCGGTTCCTGGTAGCAGTGACGGTGAAGAAGGCCACGTGCCTGTCACCACCCATGCATTTGCATCCTTTCTTATTAGAAAGGATCCTGCATAGGCCAGGCATGGCCAGGAGAGGGGAGTTTGCAAAGAGCCTTTAATCCTTAAATGTCATCTCCACACAATGACCAGCTTGACAAATATTTCAAAACATCTTGAAAGCAAATGTTAGGGTCATCATTCTTGTCTGTATAACACTCTTGATCTCACAATGTATTAACAATAACCACTTTTTATATCGTAATAGCTGAAAGGAACAAGGTTTTCATTTTCATAATCATCTTCTTATTACTAGCGGAGAAATGTTTGGGAGCATGGATGTTGTTCACATCTGAGTTTATATGAAAATTATTCAATGTTTGCAGTGCCTTCCAGATTTTTCTGTGAAGGTCATGTCTCCATCATTTAGGATAATCTCCATTGTATTAGCATGCAATAGAGCATCATTAATCATGACATGTCATCAAACTGTTTTTTTCCCCTTACATTTTCTATAGTCAAAGGTATAGTATTTTCCTTCCAAATTCAGTTCAGGTCTTCCTTCTGTGGCATTTTCCACTTCCAGTTTCATTTTTCCCATATATGCACATCTTGTTTGTAATACATAATTTATTATGTACATAATACATAATTTGGTGCTTAATTTGCTGCTTAGTTATATCTAGTTGGTGTTTTTTTTTTTTTTTTTTATTGAGACGGTGTCTCTTTGCCGCCCAGGCTGGAGCGCAGTGGCATGGTCTCAGTTCACTGCAACCTCCACCTCCTGGGTTAAAGCGATTCTCCTGCCTCAGCTTCCTGAGTAGCTGGGATTATAGGCGCCCACCAGCATGACTGGCTAATTTTTGTATTTTTAGTGGAGATGGGATTTCACCATGTTGGCCAGGCTGGTCTCGAACTCTTGACCTCAAGTGATCCACTTGCCTTGGCTTCCCAAATTGAGGGGATTACAGGCACAAGCCACCACACCATCCCGCTAGCTGGTTTTGTTGTTGCTGTTTCAGATCCATGGTCTCACAATGTCCTCAGGAGCTGAATGTGACCTATAGGTGGGTGGGGATTGGCCCACAGATAGATAGTTTTAAAAATACAAATCTTGAATTTAATGCCAACATTGGAGAACTGGTTAATTACACATAAAAAGCAGGATTTCCATTTTCACTTGAGTTAAACAACACACCTGGACACACTGGTGATCGTGTCCATCGGTAGCATCAGCTGGAGTGGATGTGCTGGGCCTCAGCATTGGCAGCGTGCCTGGGCCTTTGAAACAGTTGCTCTTAGCTCTGCCTCGTTGGCCATAGGCATTTGAGGTTGTGGCCTAACCATGTCATTTCAGTTTTGTTACTAGCTAATAAATCCCTTGAAGTCAGAGATTGTCTAATAATTTTCTTCATTCTCCCACTGCCTGGCGTAGTACCGGACACATAGTAGTTGCTCAGTAAATTAATTTGTTCAAATACTTCCGTTGTGTGCAGCTGAGCATATACTGAGCTTCTCAAAGAGCCAGGGGAAAACAATTTTCACACAATTCACACAAATTAAATGATTAATCTTCGCAACTCCTTTTTGAGATTCACAGGGGATCTACAGCACGTGTAGGGATTAATTTATGGTGTGGAAAGAATAACATGTAATGAAAGTATTCCCAGCTGCACATTCAGGGAAGATTTAGATGCACAAGAAGTAATTACTCATATTGGAAATTGCCCCATAGGGGTTAACACCAGCTGATCATTTACTAGAAAGTGGCCTCCACAGAGAGGGGTGTCTGGTACTCTCTCCAGCCCTGCAGCCCCTTAGAACCATCATTTCTTGTGAACCAGCATTACCAAATTACCCGACACCCTCAGTCAGGCCATCTCTGACCATTGTACATCTTTTGTTATGTAGACTAGGGTTCATTTAGGGTTACTTCTTGTAGAATTCTTTTTCTGACCCATCTTTAATTGTATAAGAATATTTACAATATACTATTTGGGAGAAAGGGAACTTATGAAGATTATTTTCCATATATTTAAAAAATAATAGAAATAACCCAATTGTGTAATAAGGTTATAGAAGATTTGGTCCTAAGAACTTCTTTTTTATTTCCATTGTGAAATAGTCAAGGGAATTGAGCAAGAAAAAGATTAAAACATGTAAAAGAAAAGAGATGATATCAACATGTCATTAACATGACATTAACATGTATATATGTAAAATATGTATCTAAAACAGATATAGATACTATAGATAGGTGTATCTATATGATAAATGTATATATGGTTTTAGATATAGAATTTTCAGTATACTTACAAATAGTTCCAAAATCATATATATTGTGACAGATAATAATACTTTAAAATACACCAAAATAATACTTATTCAGCAATCAAATGCTAGTGACACAGAGACACTAGAAGTCAGAGCTGACAACATTGATTTAACAAAACTTAATTAGGAAACTAAAAACCAAAACATTTTTCTTATAAGAATGTCATGCACTCATAGTTTTCTTATCTTCAGTTTATGCAAAATTCTAGCTAATATGGCTTTTTGGACCCATGGTCTAAAAGCATTTGGAAATAAGAGCGAAGCTCGTTCAAGAATTATACTCTGACCCAGCAAGAAGTAAAAACAACTGGACATTGAGAAAAGATCAGAAACATTATATGAAACATACTCACAACTTTAAAAAAAAAGCAATGATAATTTTTTTAAAAAATTAGAGGTAGAATGGGGAAATCACATTATAAACATGTCATGTTTATCTTCATCTTTCTGGATGTATCATAATATTAACTTTTCGAGGTTTGGTAAAACCAAGCTAAGTTTCAGTGAATAGTGGCCTGGCACTTCCGTTTACAAAGACACTGAGGGCATAATTAGCCATGACATATTGGCAAACTTTTTTTTCCCTTTTATTTTCTATACTCTAAGATGTAGTGTTTTCCTTCTAAATTCAGTTCAAGTCTTCCTTCTGCAGCACTTTCCACTTCTGCTCCCAGTTTTATTTCTCCCTTGTGTGCAAATCTTGTTTGTAATACATAACTTGGTGCTTAGGTATCTCTAGTTGGCTTTGTTGTTCCATATCTGAGGTCTCACAATGTCCTCAGCAGCTGAATGTGACCTATAGATGGGTTGGGAGTGGCCCTCAGATAGTTTAGAAATAAATATCTTGAATTGAATGCCAATATTTGGAAACTGTTTGATTACATCTAAAAACCTGGATTTCCATTTTCACTTGAGTTAAACAACACATCTGACTACCCTGGCACTCACATCTGGCAGCAGCAGCTGGAGTGGAGGTGCTGGGTCCCAGCATTGGCAGCAGGGCCTCCAGGTCCCCAGGACCCTTGAGACAGTTGCTCTTAGCTATTTAGTAATTTTTGTTTATCTGGTACCCTTAAGTCTGTCTTTTCCCCATTTGTGTGAAAAGCCAGTGGAGTAACAAAATGTTGAAAAGTTCCCCAAGTCGTTAAAAGAGGATCATATATAAGTGTGGGGGAAGTATAGATAGATAGACAGGTAGATGGATAGATAGATAAATGGACAGATGGATAAATAGATAGATAGATAGATAGATAGATAGATAGATAGATAGATAGATAGATAGATAGAACTGGATGAGTCAAGCATTACATTTTAGTTATATGGAAAGTTTTTGGTTCCAAGAAGTATGTTTATGTGTGAAACAACTTTTTCTAATAGCCATAGGCAGCAGTGTTAAAATAAAGGTAACATTTTTAGGCCAGCAGTGGTCATTAACAAAGAGGGAAAAGTTTACTACAGTGAAGTTTCCATTTCTATAGTGTGTACATAGGAGAAAAAAACAGCATAAATAAAAGATGAAAACTGACTATTTAGACGAGTCATGAGTCCTGCCAAAATAATAGGGGATTGCGGCAACATAAGAGACGACCTTCAATCACTTAAATACCAACAACCCCTGCAATTCAGAGGTGAGGAAAAGGCCTATTCCAAATGAATTATAATCACTTGGATTACTTCTATTTCTTTTTTTTTCTCCCTTCACAGAGGTAATGATATCCATTTGAGATATAATTAGGTTTATTTGTTTCAGTATGTTTTCAGTTATAGGATTGTCCTGCCTTTGTTGACTGAATGTATTTGGACCTTTAACATATTTCCAGGAGCAAAATCTATACAAAAAATTCCCTGCAGAGAAGGCTGCCTCCCTCCTCATTCCTATCCTCCCATTGCCTCCTCCTGGCCCTCCACTACCTCCATCCACCACTTGTGTTCCATCAACGCCATGTTTCCAGCTTACTCTTCCTGAGCTTGTTTTCTTAAAGATAAGCAAATGTTTTCTTATTTTCCTTCTCTGTTAAGCAAAAGATAGCCAACTATACATGTATACTTTTAAAAACAATGTCTCCTTCCTGTGGTTTACAGACATCTTTTGTAAAGTAGAGATGAATTTTGACCAGTATAATTTGATATTCTTGCATAGAGATCTTTGTCTAATTTTTTTTTACAGCTTCCTAATCTTTATTAGTTTTAACCAATTTCCAATGAAAAAGCATCTCATCATTTCTAGTATACCCAGTAGGTACTTCAGTACATGTTTGTTAATTAATGAATTTATGAACAAGAAGTTCATAGATGCATAGATGCATCTCAAAGGTTTGGATTGATGGAGAGGAATTCTTCTTCATAAGTGGTTCTGAAAGGAATCGCATTGAACAGAGATGCACAGTGGAGCACTGAGAACATTGGCTTGCCTGAAACAAAAGTTTTTGTATTGCCAAATTGGGGGAATAGACTTGCTGTCTTAGGTGAGGCAAAAATCAAAGTTCTTTGAAAACTGGGTGTAAGTTTCAATGGCAGGAATTAACATGATAAGGGATAAAATAATATTTGGGCATAGTACTTATGGAACTTAACATTAGTTGATGTAAATGCTGCTAGATTTTCACTATTTAATAACTATTGCCATTAAAATATTGTGGATTTTTTTTACACCATAGCAGAACAAATAGTACTGAATTACCTTTCCAAATATGAGTAACTAGTTTTATGTTCTTTTGACAGTTTGGTTATGTTTCCAAAAGTCACGTAACTGCTTTCTCTGGGAAGTGTGTGTGTCTGTGTGTGTGTGTGTGTGTGTGTGTGTGTGTGTGTGTATGTTTAAGGCATATAATACTCACCCATAGGCCCTTAGCATTATGATAATGTTCAATGAGGTTGGTAAAAGGGCACCAAAATAATGAACTAATTGAACAAGAAATATAAATGTGGCAGTGGGAGGTGAATTAGAGGGTAACCAAGTAATGTTAGCTTTCTATGGCTGTGTAACAACTTACCACATATCTAGAGTCTTAAAGAGACCCCTGTTGGTGATCTCACCATTTCTGTAGCTCAGAAGTTTTGGCATAACATAGATAGATGTGTTCTGTGTTTGGAGTGCCACAAGATTGAAATCAAGGTGTCAATAAGGACTGAAATCTCATTAGGAGCTTGGGGTCATTCTCCAAGCTCAGGTAGCTGTGGCAGAATTCAATTCCTATGGTTGTAGGATTGAGGACTCCATTCCTCACTGGCTCTTCCCCGGGGACTGTCACCTGCCTGCATTCCGTGCCACAGTGAGTGCTCCCTTCATTTTCAAAGCTAACAATGAACAATCTGTTTCTTGTTGAATTTCTCTCATGATTGAAGTCTCCTTCACCAGGATGAGCTACGTCTCTTTTAAGGGGTAACTTGATTAGGTTAAGTCTAACTTAGGTTAATCCTTTCTTAAAGCTACCTATGTCTTATAACATAACCTAACAATAAGAGTGACATACCATCCTATTAATGGATTCCTCTCATACACAATAGGAGGGCATTAAATAAGGTTGAGCATCTACCTTGGGTCCAAGGTGGTAGATGATTATCGTGCTCTTTCAGGTGTGAGGTTATGAAGGCCTTTACTCAAGTGGTAGAGGGGGAGGATAAAATGACTAAATGCAAACACATTTTGAACAGAGTTATCAGTAAGACTTGCTTATCGGCTGGAGAAATGAGGAAGACAGGAATAGTGAAAAGTAGTTCAAACCAAATCAAACCATTGATTAATGCAAGGACACGAGAAAAGAAAATGTCTTTGACCAGGATGCCAATGAGTTTGGTTTGATACAAGTTTAGTCTAACAGGATATCAGAATGAGAATATTGCGTAGGTAGTTGGAAATACATTTGTGACTGTAGCACAAATAAGACCTGAGACCTGAAGAGACAGGTTTGGTGTACATCATATTGGAGATATAATCGAAGCATTGAGAATAAATATGCCTTTCAGGGAAAGTGAATTCTGCACCCCCCCCCCGCCCCGGCCAATTTATTTGCTGAAGTTTAACCTCCCCAGTGAGGCTGTATTTAGAGATAGGGTCTTTACCAAGGCAATTCATGTTAAACTAGGCTGTAAGTATTGGGCCCTAATGTAATAGGTCTGGCATGCTTTTAAGAAAAGGCAGAAATACCATGAGAGCACAAACACAGAGAAAAGGCTATGTGAGGACACAGCAAGACAATGGATATCTGAAGACCAACGCAGGAGGCCTCAGGAGAAACCAAACGTCCAGATACTTTGATTTTGGACTTGCAATCTGCAGAGCCACGAGAAAATCAGTGTCTGTTGTCTAGGCCGCCCTGTCAGTAGTGTTTGGTTATGGCATCCCTCACTGACTACTACAAAGACCAAATACAGTTCCTAAGAACAGACATATATTTAGGAGGCAAGAGCAGGCAAGTGAGTGAAAGGCAATCAGAAGTTTAAGAATGCTGAGTCTGCGTCTTTGACTATACTACAAAGATCAGTAGCCTTGGGGGTTAAATGGCCTGGAATCTGGTCTTCTCTCTTCCATGGACGCGCTACTTTACTTTGGCAAGCCTCTTTAGCTCCCAAAGCGCTTGATGCACAAAGGAGAAATCATAGTGCATATCTTCCTGGTCATTGGAAGGTTTAAAAAAGTTTTTGCATTTCTGTGGCCTTTTTTTTATGTTGATATATGTGTATACAATTAAACGATTTCTTCTATAAAAATCATGTATAAGAAGTACTAGATAAATATATTATCTCTTTTTTTCAGAAGTTATAAAACTGTGGAGTTCTGATTGCATCCATTAAAAAAAAATCTATTCTTCTTTAGTGCATGTCTGTGGATGTAGCTCCACCATCAGCTCCAGTTTGCTATTGGTGTTTAGGTACTGTCATCTGTGTCCTGACATGCATTTTATTTTGTTAATGTATAGGTTGAAGACAAGGTTGTTAATGGTTGTTGGTAGGTTGTCTACAAAAAGAATAAGTGGGTTACGATGGATCTGAGTACAGGTTACAGACCTCAAGCTTTGGTGCAATTCTGTTGCCTGTTAGTTGGTCCTGTGAAGATGTGGCAGCTCAGTGGTCTTTTGTCTACATCCTGGCTCTTGACTCTTTCTTGAGTGACTGAGCTTGCCCGATAAAGGTTAACTTTAGAGAAGTGAGGTGTTCTAATCTATGTTTGGTTGGTTCCAGGCCTCCTCTATTAAAGATGCATGTGGAAAACTTGAAAAGTATCCAGGTGAAAGGTTTAAAGAAGTCAAATAATTTAGACATAAAAAGAAAAAAAAAACGCAGAGAGCTGCATAACATTCTTCAGTCTCCATTAAGGAGACCTAAAATAAGCATTTTGCATGATCTTCTCTTTTAGAAACCTAAATGAGCTCCCAAAGATATTTAACTGGCATCAAGAGGTGGAATGGATAACTGTAATACCTTTTTCTCTGTTGGTCTTTGCAAATATGACAGCTTTTCACATCTCTGAAATAGTTTAGATGGATTCTGATAGAATGTGTTTTTTTTTTTAAAGAAGAAGAAAAGCCACTGTGTTCAGAAATAAGTTTTTAAAGGCCGACAAAACACATTGAATGTCATAGGCATTCCTATTCATGTTTGTATTCCATATTTTATGAAGTAATTGTGTATGTATAGCACTGTTGTATTATCCAGAGTAGATAGTTTCATAAATCATTTGCAGCTACTGCTCTGATTCTATAATGCTACTACACGTGTTCAGTACATTTTTGTATGAAAATTTCTGTATTATTAAAAAAAGACAGCAGAGAATGGAAAGCAAACATGAGTGTAACTCAGCACTAAGTATGTGGAAAAATACCATGAGTATTTTATATAAGTATGAAATGAATAAAGCTGTAGTGAAAGCTAGGATTTTCTGCATGGAAACATTGATTCAGATTTTATGTCATTTTGGTCTAGCTTTACTTTACTTTACAATTATGTGTAATTAGTTATTTGTTACAGATGTCTTTTGAACACCTGTGTGCTAAGCAGTAAGTGTGGTAGGTAGGAAGAATTCCTGCAAAGTGGCCTGCAGCCCACTGTATGGCCATGAAAACACAGACCTATAGACACACATATATATAAAGGAATAAATATATGTATATATTTATTTAAAGGAATAAATACATATATATATAAAGGATTAAATAAAGGGAAGTGATAATGTATAGTTTATATATATTTGCATAATTTAAAGCCAAGTTCACAATAATGATAATGAAAAGTTATATCTAATTAAATAGAAATGAGCCCCATATCTTCCAGTGACTTTATTCACTGAAGCCACTGAACACTTGGGTGCACCTGGGAAAAAAATAGACTGTTTTTATCGAAGAAGCTGCTCACAAAGAGGGAGAAAAGAATAGTGTTCTAGTGTGCCCATTCCACCTTCCACCTAAGGGTAAAAACCAGAATCTTACCCACCGGGAGAGACACTCAAGCGTTTCAGATTGGAAGTCTCCTCTATTCAGCCATTGGCCTCTCTGCCCCTGTTTCTGGCATTGAATCTAAGTCGGGAGCTCACAGTGAGCCGTGTCATGGGCAGCGTCCCACCATCCAGCACAGTGTCTCTGTCTGCCCGAAGGGGCTGAGATGCCTGATGCGTCTTCGCTGTTAAGGTTGGCATCTGAGATGTGTTCCAGCAGCTCTGCCTCCAGTTCACACCTCCTTGCAGCTTTCCCCAAGAGCAACCCTTTGCCCTGACCCTGTGAGCCCCTGTGGGCCATCCTCCCTTCAGCAAGGCCAACTCCTCTTTTCAGTGCAGTAGGATGTGGAGGCTCTTTTTAGCTCCTGGAAGAGCGGGGGCTGGAACCAGGCCCTCACTGTCTTGGACACACCAGGCCATCTCTTCTGCTCCCACATCAAGGCCCTCAGGGCACATGGCGGGGCAGCACCTCCCAGAGGTCCAGGCTTCCAGCCCTCCCCTCCTCCACCTGGCTCAGCCCTGGCTCTGGCTTTCTTTTCCTGTGCTCTGAGAATCTTATACAGCTCAGGATGGGCACAGGGTCAAGAAACAGCTTGCACCTCGGCAGTTTTTCCTTACCATTCTCCCTCTCCCCAAGATTGCTGCTTTCATCAAGGTGAAGGCCAAGAATTGTAAATATGTCCTCTGGTGCCTCCATGCTGACCTCATGGGGTTGGGGGGTGGGGGGTGGTGGGGGGGTGGGAGAGTCACTAAATTAGAGAGCATATGTCATCCTGAGGGGGAAATATCTTCATTAGTACTTCCTATTGTCACCCTTCCCTTCAGGGAAACATAACCCTGTAATTCCAGGGTGTGTCAGTTCAGATTCCAGAAGAAAACAGTACCCTCAGATAGGAGGCTGAAGAAAACAGTTTTAAAAAAAACAAAGAAGGATGTCAAGACACCTGAACTATTCATGGTGCGAAGCTGTTACTATTGTTAGGTCTTTAGGGACAAGAGGAATAAATGCTGTTCCCAGAGCTAATGAGAATTGGAGCCCTAGCAGAAGGGACATCTGGTGGATGGTAAATCCTAGAGGGTTGCAGTCCCCACCGGAACCAGAGATTTCAAGCAAGCAGGGCCAGGAAGGATGGAGGGAAGCCCCAGTCAATTTCTCTCTCTCTCTCTCTCTCTCTCCCCTCCGTCTGTACCCATTGACCTCCTGGTACCTCCCCTTGTCAAAACCCAACTGGAGGTTGCAGGACAAGGGAGCCCAAGTGATTTGGCCTGTGGGTGTCAACCTCTGAGGGCACAGAACAGAATCGGAAAGATGGAAGATGGATGGATGTGTAGTTGTGTGAAAATGGAGAATAATAGGACAGAGAATCCACTTCTAGCACCCACAGCTATAATCCTGATTTCACATATTTTGCTTGTTGTAACTACTGACATGAACATACTTGTCAGAATCTGAGACTTAATATTTAGTGTTGAGAGTATGATTTTTAGCTAGGACTGGGCATGGAGGTGTCACTGGACTGTAATTAATGAAGCAGGAAGGATGAAGAGCCCACAGTGGTATGTTGCTATATTGATACATTTATTTTTAGATGATTCAAGGAAATTTATTCTTTGTCTCTCCTTGTCCTATGTGGTTTTTAATTATATTTTTCTGAAAGTGAACTTAATAATAAGAATATTTTTTTTCTGTTACTCTGAGAACAACCACTATAGATTAAATGTGTTCATGTTACAGAATATATGAATATATTTTCTGATGGAGTTTAGATATGAACCCACAATAATTTCTTTGTGTTATTACACTGTATGCCTCCTAATTCATCTGTCCATTCATGTCACATCTATTCTTTTCACTCTTCAAACAGAAGTTCTTTCAAAATCCAATCTTGTAGAATTGTGCCTTTTTTCCTTCTTTGTGCCAGATGTGAAAGAATGCCTTACATGGTATCAGACACAGGTGGATGGATACCCTTGTGCAGATGGTTTAATTGGTACTTTGATATATCAATATTACTACCAGGATCTTGTAACGGATGCCATTGATGAAACTGCCACAGTTGAAAAGGACCCAGAGCTATTTTAGGTCCCATGTATATTCTTCAGCAGAGTGACCAATACCATCACAGCCAGCTGCCTTTGCGAAACTAAGATGCTTACAAAAAAAAAAAAAAAGAAAAGAAAAATTCTAGAATCTGATTAGCAGAGCTAAGCAGTTCCTGTTGTACTGACATGTAGGATTAAGCTATGGCTTGAAATTCACATGAAATCATGGGGATTAATTTCGACTGGGCCTTTTCTAGTTAACCATTCCAGCAGTTAACTCTTGGCCCCCTTTGCCATTAATTTTTTCCTTGTAGAAGTATGATTGGACACGTCATTTGCAATATGAGAGGCCTGGAGATGTACTTTATTTTTCAGATTTTATTCTTTTTTAAAAATGGATTAGAATGATAGATTTGGAAAGCTGAGGTGGCATGGAAACGATGCTTTTTTCTAGTTAACAGTAAATCCTTGGGTAGCTGAAGACATTCTGATTATTTTCACTTTGACTTTTCTAAGTGAAATTCAACATGAGTTTCCTTCCCCTTTTTAATTTTTGTCCTCAAGTAAGAAAATTTTCTTAAATACGTAAATTAATTGGCTTTTTTCCTGCTGGGTATAATAGCTGTATACATTTGCAATCTGAGCACATTTTAATGTTTTTAAAGTGCGTTCATTTTTGCTTTACCTCAATGTGATTGGCACATAATAATTTGGTTGGCAAAAGAATGGATAGATAGTTGTGGAGTAAGAAATAAGCGGCATCCACTGCTTCTGTAAATGTTTACTTAGGGTCCAGAGTGGGAAGTCAGGCAGCTCCGGGGGATTTCAGAAGCTGGGTTAAGGAGCCAGCCAGAGGGTCCTTAAAGCCTGCAATGCTCAGAAAGGAGATGAGTGATATGAGTATCAGACTCACATAAAAGCAAGAAGAACAGAGCTTGTCTCCATCCTCTCCTGCAGTAGAGGCTGTGCTCATACCCTTCCTGGAGAGTGTGGGCTTGTCAAGGCCCCTGGCTGGGAGGCAGCGCAGATAGGGAGTGAGGTACTGGGCGCTGGCATAGAAGGGGGTGGGGGGCATAGAAGGGGGTGGGGGGATGGGCACATTCTGTTTTAAGGCGACTGTGGGCCTTGACAGCTCTTGGTCTTTCTCCTCCATCTTTTCCTTCTTTTTACCCATTTACTGTCCCTCTCCCCTCCTTGTTCTCTTTTGCTTTGTTTTTGTTTTTAAATTTTATTTAAAATGAACAAATCCCAGATACAAACTTGCTGTAATTATTTTTACTTTTCCAAAATTGTAGTTTCATGGGATATATCTTTTTATTTCATGTTTCTTTGTAGTGGCCTTGGGAACATCCGAAAATTTCTGCATGGGTATCCACTCTCAATTAGAAAGCCCTTCCTGTATTAACAATGCTCCTTGTCACACTGCCATCAGATGGTGTCCCTGCCTGTCAAGGGGCATCTCCTGAATTTCAGATTCTGACAACTGCAGTGGCAGCCACCTATGCAGAAGTCAAAATAAACTCCAAGGGCAAGCGTAGGCTTGTGTGTAAGGCCCCACTTTGCTCTAGAATTATGAAGTTAGTGGATCTGCCTGCTTTCCTGGGAAGTGAAGAGCAAGAGAAGACAGACAGGAAAAATCTGATTGCCAGTGAGGTTCCCACAACTCCTGTAGTGGGGCCAGGTAATACTTCCGTTTTATACTTTGAATTTTGCTGAAATTATTGGACAATTAGTTAATGGCATTAGTCCTAATAGGAGATCTAAAGTCAGAATAAGTTCCATTTGGAGGGGAGACGCATGTGTGTGAATAAATTCGATCTCAGCTGGCGAGGGATGCTGTGGGTGCCTTACGTGGTATCAGACCACAGGGCCTGTGTGTAGCCATGTCAGGCCTTTTGTGTAAATATAGACTGATAAATAGCAATAATTCCATGATATCAAGGCAATCGAGTAAAAAGTTTAAAATTCTGTCAAACCCCAGTATAAATGGTGCACACATAACAACTGAACTGATTCATTATTTTGGCCCTAAGTGGACACAGCCTAAATCTTCCTCTGGTAAGAAAGCTTGGCAATCTAGAGGAAGAAAGCCTCCATATGGGTACCGAGCGACCAGCATTTGGAAGAGCTCCCTGATGTTGTCACGCACAAGCCCCAGCACCAGCGAATGCTGGGAGGCTGCGTGCATGCCGCTTCTCACACAGATTCTGAAATACAACTTGCCTAGTTAATATATTGTTGAGCTGCATATTGGCTGAACTTATGTAGGGCTGTATATTAAATGTATGTTCCAAATGAAAAGCTAGAGGCAGAGGTTTTAGCTAATAAGTATGGTTACTAGGGTTAGTGATCGAGGAAGCACAACCCAGATCCAGGTCTCGTTCAGATCTTGTCCTGTGTTTTCTGGGTTATCAAAGTGAGTGCAGTATTTCAGTAGTCTCTAGATGGAACTTAGTTTGTGCTTACACCTGAATCTGCATTACTTACATCCCTCTTTTCCTTTTCTTACTCTTTTTTCTATTCTTTTCTTTTATGTTTTTATTGTATTGTATTTCTCTTTTTTTTTACTCTTATTCTATTCTTATTCTCTTCTTAATCTTCTTCAGCAGAAAACTTAATACAATAATGATGCTGAGCAAGCACATCTTTAATAACGTCAGAACAAAAGGTTGTATTTCCTTTTCCAGTTGCCCAATTAAATCGTGTGCAGGAGTTAAATCATTCCTGCAGTTTCAGCAGGGTCTGTGATTTTTGTTTTACTCAGTCCTGTGGGCAGTTGAAGTAGTGAACAAAGTCTAAATTTACTAATCCTGGTATTCAGGCAAGTTATTAATCAATTCCACAATTTGTATTTCTTGCTCATTTCAAGCCACAGGTTCTTCTCTGCCTGACATTGACATTGAGGAAGAGGTTTAATTAGAGTCTCTGCTTCTCTCTCTCTCTCTGTCTCTCTCCTCTCTCTCTGTTCACCTCCTTCTCTCTCTCAGGCCAAGCTCTGAAGAAGTTTGAGGAAGCTTGAAAGGGTGTAGGAAGGAGGAGAATGGGGCCAGGAAACAGAGCTTTTGGCTCGGGTACTTGGAGCCTGGCCAAGGGTTCCAGCTGATTCCTCAGCACCGGGGGCTTTCATGAACTCTTAGTACATTTGCACCGCTGGAAACCTCTTTTCTGCATCTCTCCTGCCTCCCAATGATGCCTCTCTATTCAGCCGGGTTGCATGGCCCCTTCTGATCTCTCCTGCTGCCCTAAAGACTTGACTTTGGCTTCTTGTTTCCAGGGTCCTGCCACCCTCCAGGTGGCCCTCATGTCTAAGCCCTAAGACTTCTCCCAGCCGGGAATAGTGGCTCATGCCTGTAATCCCAGCACTTTCGGAGGCCGAGGCGGACGGATCACAATGTCAGGAGATCGAGACCATCCTGGCTAACACGGTGAAACCCCATCTCTACTAAAAATACAAAAAATTAGCCGGGTGCGGTGGCGGGCACTCTCTGTCTCCCTTCTTCCTCTGTCTCTCTCTCTTTCTGTCTCTCCACCTGCCCACATCTGGTCCTTGGGGAACCCCAGTCTTTCCCACAGCCCTGGAGTACAGGTCCACCCACTGTATTCACATTCCTCCTGACAGCCTGCTCTAGCTCTTCAGGCTGGGAGGAGAGCCCTCTGTGTCCCCATCTCTGAGTCATCCCCTGGCTTCCACCGGGCTTGAGGTGGAGGAAGAGCACTCGAAAAAGTGGAGGTGGGGCCCCCCAATGGGACAGCTGCCCTCTCCAGGGCGGTGATCTCCCACTCACCCACTCCCTCTCCGCTGGGTCTCCTTTTATGTCTGTGAACTGGCTGAGTGGTCCGAGAACTCAGCAAGTTTCCACCTCCTCCATGAATGGAGTACATGGATTTAGAATTCCAAATCTGTGTTTTCTATATTTTGGTGGCTTTGTTTACATTTTAACCCTCATTCTTTTAATCTTATAAATTAAAACTTGGGCCCCTTTGAGAAATACTCTTTCCCATTCGGGTTCTTTCCCTCTTCTTATCCTTTCATCCTTTTCCTGGGGATGATCAGCCCATAGGGCCTCACCACTGTTCTGCCTGAAGAAGGGAAGTCTAATTTCCTGTTGGCTTCTGTCTTATTGGCCTCTACTGAAGTGAAACTGGGGATGTTGTGGAATCAATTTTCTTTTCCTTCCCTTTACATCTGATGTTGAAGCTTGTTAATATCTTACCCAGGATGCTAAACATCTGGCTTACATATTTTCATTTTTTGAGCCAGCACCCTTTGGAAATACTGTTATTCTCAGAAAGTCTCTTTGACCTCCTCCTTGCCCTTCATGAGGTATTTACTGCACCCCTTGGGTCCCCAGCGACCACAGGACTCTGTGCATAGACACTCTGTGGGGCCATACCTACAGTATTGCTGCTACCCAGTGTTGGAAATCAGGTTTTTTTGTGTGCTGTAGGAGATCCCAGAAAGAATTAGGGCATTCCATTGGTTGCTTTACTTTCACCTAATCAAAGAGATCTGGGGGTTTTTATATCCCCCTCCCCATCTCCATCACTACCGAAAGAACTGATCCTGGTGGGTCTAAGGAAGGCAGTGGTGCTGCTTCTCACCCAGCTGCTCTCATCCAGACCCCATCACACATCCTGTGGGTATCCACCTTCCTCCAGCTGATTCAGACTTATCTTCTTATGGGCTCTAGGTCATCCTCGGCTCTTCCCACTTCGAAGCTTCCATGGAGTAGATTCAATCCTGGACCATTGTGGCTGCTGTAGATTCACCAACATCTGTGCAATTCCAAGTCTGGTTACTTGACCCTCTGTTTGCCTGGGATTTTTTTTAAGTCTCTCCTTCTCTAAGGCAATGAGCCTCTGCCTGTAGGTGGAGCCTTTAAGGTAGAAAGCTACAGGGTACAAAAGGGTAATGACAAAAGAAAATATATCAGGTAATATATTGAAATATTCTGCTCCTTTATGGTGTTGCATCTCTGGTGATTAATTGAATGTCTTTGAAAGACGGATCAGTGCCAAATGACAGAATAACTTGGAAGAGGCCGGGCGCAGTGGCTCACACCTGTAATCCCAGCACTTTGGGAGGCCGAGGTGGGCAGATCACCTGAGGTCAGGAGTTGGAGACTAGCCTGGTCAATGTAGTGAAACCTTGTCTCTACTAAAATTGCAAAAATTAGCCAGGTGTGGTGGCAGGCAACTGTAGTCCCAGTTACTCAGGAGGCTGAGGCAGGAGAATCGCTTGAATGTGGGAGGCAGAGGTGGCAGTGAGGCGAGATCCCGCCATTGCACTCCAGCCTGGATGACAAGAGTGAAAGTCCGTCTCAGAAAAAAAAAAAAAAAAACAATAATAATAATAGTAATAACTAGGAAGATACTATGAATTGTATCTGGAAGTGGCTGCTCACTTAGAAAATGACTCATCAGGTTTGCTCTATATTAGAACATCTTGTTTGTCTTCAACGCTTCATTTCCTGACCAAATCCCAACGCCAACCTTTTCCTCTTCTATAATGGAGAAAACGTCTTTGGAGATTGTTGTCGTAGCGGTGAATAACCTCAGGGTAACATGAAAGGAAAAGCTTTTTAAAGGTAAAAATGAAAAGGGGCTCTGTTAAAGCCAGGGCTTTCATCTTTTTACGGGAAATTCTCCTGTCAGCTTAGCTCTCAAAAAATCTTTCATGTTTGGCTCAAGAATCCTTCTTCACCTGACTTTCGAGCAGGAGGTGAGGCATCTCGAAATGTGTGGGTCCCATGTGTTTCCTTGTGATCCCTGACACCCTCCCGTGAAGTGCTGGAGGGATACTGGGTTGGTAATAGTGATCAAGGGTGGACGTGGCACCAGAGGGTGGTGGGGCTGGAAAGTGGCATGATTCCTGCGATGTCCCTTCCCCCCCATCCCACCCATCCCTCTTGTGACATGCTTTTTGCATCTAGTACCAGAGTTGGTTCATAAGTGTGAATAACATCAAGAGGCTTGTTCCAGGCAATCTCTTCTGTAGACTGGTACGAGGCCTGGCAGTAGACGATGCCAATGAACTGGCCCAGGAAGAGCAAAGCCTGAAGCTTAATTATGACCAGCTGCATTTTAGTGTCCAGAGGTCACCATGAGTTTCTTGCCCTAGTTTCTAACATGATTTATGATGATAACCCTCCACATTTCTCTCTTCTACCCTTGGGATTCTCAGATTCATGTTTTATGTGCCTCCGTCTCAGCAAATGCTTGGCTGTTTTCCTGATTCTCTGCTATGTTTAGGAAAATCACCCATGACATCGCTCCTTTCTTATAAGTACACACAGTTATCCTACTATCTCAGAACTTCGGAGAACATATTTAATATTTAATTCCATGAATGCTCTTTCTACCAGAAGCTATGAAAGTGAGCACTTAACTGGCTCAGACTAGCATTATGTTCATTTTTAGAGTTATCCTATCCCTTTTGTGATTATCCTGAAAAGTTGTCAATGTCTTTGCCAAGAAACTTGCAGCTCCTTCTTATGTTATTTCCATGCCAGAAAATTTGTATTTTCCTTCTCCTGGACTGTTAGGGCAGAACTGGAAAAGTTCAAGGCAGTCTGCAAAGAGGAAATTGCCATTAATGATTTAAATTAGTACTTTCATTTTTTTAGAATTAATTTTCCATTTGAAAAATAGATCTGTTTTAGCTTGAAAATCTACGGCATTAATATTGTCATAATATTACTAACTCAGTGGAGAAATATACATGAGGCAATTAACTTTTGGTGATAAAAAATTACTCATAAAAATCATTGTCTCTTAATCTGACATTTAACATGGACATTTGAATATATTATTTGAAAAATCTAACAAGGAATAAATTATGATGTTTTAAATCAAAGAATTTAAATTCTATTAAGAAGGAAAAAATTCTGATATTTTGTGTTAGATTTATTTGTATTTCCACAAAATGATTAACTCACTAAGAGGCCACTCAAGAGTGGAAAAATGACTTGCTCGTCTGTTTAAGAAACTTATTCAATGAAGTCTTAGTACAACAGATATCTTATATTAAAGCAAACAACTATACTTGACCTGCTGCAGGGGAGGTTAGACAGAAGGGAGTTTTTCAGCGTGTACAATCCCTGCATGCAAAATGAGAGGGAATGACAGTCAGCCTATTGCTGAGGACAATGGTCGGTCTGTGGACTGGGGATAAAGTGAAGGAGTCTTGGATTCTTCCTCTGGTGCTCAATTCTCATGCTCAGGACATAGGAGGCGAATAAAAATATTCATGCAGCACAACTCAGATAAGCTGAAATGAAACTTTCTCTATTTTTCAACTTTCTCACAAGCCCTCATTTCCACTCTCAGAAGGAAAGAAAAAAATCATACTCTTACTTCCAGGTAGGTCATTCTGTTTCAATTTAGGGACTTAGATATGCAGTCACATTCAAGGTTCTTCCTTTCCCTTTCTCCTGCCCTTGATGATCCCACGGCTATTGAAATTGGGAGGGTCACCTTGGTGTCTTGCTGCCACAGCAGAGGCAGCTGGCTATCTGCCCTCCAGTAAGGTACCTAGTCCTTGGATGCTCTCTCCTTCCTCTTTTATGGGCGTTATGGAGTGAATTGTGTTCTTCAAAAAATCTTTTTTTTTTTTTGAGACAGTGTCTCGCTCTGTTGGCTGAGGCTAGAGTTATCTCGGCTCACTGCAACCTCCATCTCCCAGGTTCAAGTAATTCTCCTGCCTCAGCCTCCTAAGTAGCTGGGATTACAGGTACCTGCCATCATGCCCGGCTAATTTTTGTATTTTCAGTAGAGACGGGTTTTCATCATGTTGGCCATGGTCTCGAACTGCTGAGCTCAAGTGATCCACCTGCCTCAGTCTCCCAAAGTGCTGGGATTACAGGCATGAGCCACTATGCCTGGCTAAAAAAAAACACCTATTTTGAAGCACCTGGGAATGTGACCTTATTTGGAGAGATCAGGTCTTTACAGTGGTAATCAAGTGAAAGTGTGGTCATTAGGCTGGGCCTTAATCCAATATGATAAGTGTCCTTAGAAAAAGGGGAAAAAAAGTGAGACAGACAAGCACAGAGGCAGGACGATGTGCAGGCACAAGGGGAAGGTGGATATCTACAAGGAAGGAGAGCACCCTGGAGCAGGTCCTTCTCTCCCAGCCCTCAGAAGGAACCAGCCCTGCCGATGCCTTGATTTCAGGGTCTGGCCTCCAGAGCTGTGAGACAGTGCATTTCTGTTGTTTAAACCCCTAGTTTGTGGTACTTGATTACTGCCATCCTAGGAAACCCATGTGTAGGAAACTACACTTTTGCCATATTCCACATCCTATGTTGTAGTAAAACCCTACAGACCACAACAAATCTCTTTGTCTCACATGGCCTTAAAGTGAAAAACAGACTTCACAATGGTACTGCTGACCTAAGCTTCAAGAGCCCGTTTGATCAAATGACAACAAGCTCATGTTTCTTTGTCCTCAAGGGGCTTCAGCCTTCCTCAGCAGCCAAGCATAGGTATCTGCAAATGGCAAGAATCCTTGGAATGATAAATGTATCCGATGTTTATAAATGGTATCATGGTAGAAAAATGTGAGTGTTTCACCATTTCCATGTTTGTGGGCTTGGTTTAATGGGTCCTCTGCTTAGGGGCTCATGAGGCTACAATAAGGGGTTGGTGGGGGCCTCGGTGAGGGCTCCGTGTCCTTTTCGGAGAAGTTCACTTTCTTGCAGCTGTAGAACTTACGATGACTTGCTTCTTCAAGCCTAGCAGGAACGTGAAGTCTCTGTCACTTCATGTCTCTGAACTTGAGACCCCGTTTCATGGAGCTCACTTGCACACTTCTTTTTAGTAGTTCAGGCCCGCCGGGGATAATCTCCCTTTTGCTGAACAAGCCAGCCGATTACAGACTTGACGTATATCTGAAAACCCCCCTCTCCTTGGCCCTATAGTGTAACCTAATCACACGGGTGGCATTCTTCATAGTCACAGATGCTGCTCATAGAAGGCAGATACACAGATCAGGGAGTGAGACACTCAAGAGCTACCTTAGACCGCTGCCTACTACCAGCAGCCAAAACCAGAATGGATGTTTTTCCTCTTGTTGGCTACATTTAAGATGAGGATGAGGATAGGATGTGGGCAGAAGAGTGGCTCTGGACCACCTGGCTTGGTATAGAGCCCACTTCCAGGCAGGGAGGGAAACTGTAAGAGTTAGGCATATTCAGTGCTTCCGTCAGTGGGGCTTAAGTTCAGAAGAAGATTTTAGCTCTTGAGCATGATTCTAATCATGAACAGGATTCCGGAATAAGACAGAACCTGAGGCATTTGGCCTGGGAAATGCAGTGGGAAAATTGTGGGTCATGGAGCCCCAAGCCCACCCCAAGCATGGTGAAATGTAGAATCCAGGTTCCATCTGCTGCTGGGTTAGTCACGCCTCGGGTGTGACCAGCCTTTGAAATGATTGGCATGGGTTGCCCCCACTTAGCTGCGAATTCTACATTAGGCTTTTCTCTTTCATTTTTCATAATCAAAGCTAATTTTCTCACATTCCATCCCTTCACAAATTTCTATTTGTGATAGCTAGTTATTTGTTATCAATGTAACCCTCCCAGTTAATCCTTTTGATTTAAATAGAAGTCTTCCATGGTAAATAATATGAATCACAAAAGAATGATGAAAATGATGGGAATTACATTAAAATAGCCCTTAAATCCAACCTTTTCTTATGTTCATAATTTCATTATGTCCAGTGATTTTTTTGCAAGGAGCAAGGTCTCTCTCTGTTGCCCGGGCTGGAGTGCAGTGGCATGATCATGGCTCACTGCAGCCTGGACCTCCCAGACTCAAGCGATCCTCCCACCTCAGCCTCCTGAGTATCTGGGGCCACAGGCATGTGCCACCATGCCCAGCTGATTTTTATATTTTTTTGTAGAGACAGAGTTTTGCCATGTTGTCCAGGCTGATTCTGAACTCCTGGGCTCAAGCAATCCTCCTGCCTCAGACTCCCAAACTGCTGGGATTACAGGCGAGAACCCCCATGCCTGGCAATGTGCAGTGAATTTTTATAGGGAGACATCATGTCTTTTCCTCACAGACAAATCAGAATTGTGATATGTTCCTCTGGAAATTCATGAGCTTGTCTATCTGCCTCACTCACCTTCCTGGCTGGAAGCTTTCGTTGCGTCTCATCTGTAATCTGTTATCATTTTTCTGAGTTTCACACATCTGTACCATTAGATGGGACAGCCTTTGGAGACAATAGAGAAGAATTGGAGGGTTCATCTTAAGTGCTTCCAAATTCTACCCTTTAACTGCTTTGGTTATAGAATGAAGCAAAATTTAGATGTGTTAATTAAAGTAGATATCTGTACTCATTGCTGATTTATTCAGTCAAGGTAAGCAGTTCAACGTGGTTTTACAAGATGAACCTGGATGCAAATCCAGTGATATCCCTTTAGGTAAGTTATGCATCTCTTTGAGCTCCAGTTTTGTTGTCCATCATCTTATTTCAAGGAGTCGTTATGAAATTAAAGTTTGGAGAATGTAGGTAAAATGCTTGATCTGTTTAAACGCCAGCTACTTGGCCAGATATTTTAAAAATGAAAAAGAAAACAACCCTCACTGCTAGGTACTTATGTTCCTAATGAATGCCTTATCATGGTCTTTCTCAAAGAAGAACTCGATATTGTCATAGCAACCATCCAAACCACACTGTGATACAAGTTTCTTCTTACTTGAGAGCGATCTAGCATTTTGTTTTTGGGAGCAACAAATGAGAAGTTTGCCACCTCTGCTTATGCTAATCCCACATGATAAATTTTATTGGAGTCAGTATTGCATGTATAATGCCAGTGGGCTTAAAAGTATGAAAATGAGTTGGAAATGTTGGTGAAGTTGTAGGGAGTTTGAAGATGGCCTACATACTATCAGGAAGGAGGAGGTGGTATGTAGCACAAAGGAATGATTGATTTCTGAGAAAGAAAACATGAAGATCAAGGCTCACGGCTATAAAGATTTAGGAAAAACAAACAAACAAACAAACACAAGAACATCCAAAAACAAGTTTGGAAAGGCTTTGGATTCAATAATTAGCTAGCAAATAAACGTGATAAAACCTGTGCCCTAATGTGGCATTTTATACATTTACAGCTCTGTTTAAAAAGGAAGCTTCCAGTTTCAACCCAGTAATTTTAGCTGTTGTATCTGATATCATTTTAAAATTTTGGCTGTGCAGAGTAATCTCTAGAAAGTTTATTGACAATCCAAAACCTGATGATGTAAATTTGATTATGCTGCCACGCTGCATTTTGTAGTCTTTGGTTGTGTGGTTGAAACCATAGGATGTGAGCTCCCAGCTTACAGTTGAGAGTTTGTCTCTAACTTGTATTTTGCCCATCTCTCCATCTATGCCCCCGCCGCCACACATTTATCAACCATTTTGTCGTGTATTTATCTGTTTGTTGTCTGTCTGTGTTCACTACAACTTCTGTGAACATGCTTTGGCTTCAAAGTGGCACACATCTCTTCTAGTCATACCCATCAGATAAAAGGAATCAGTGTAGCCAACCCTAAATGTTAAGGAATTTGGGAAATCAGGTCATCTGGTGTCGGGGAAGAGGAGGAAACAGATTTCGATGAGGTGCCAGCTGTCTCTGCTACAATACTTATTTATCAGTGTGGTTTGATGATTACAAATAATATGTAAGATATTTAGTAAATATGGTGCTTAATACAGTTCTTGAGAGTTATTACTGATATTCATTCATTCAACAAGCACGCACTATACTGGTTTCAGTGTAATTGCGAAGATCCTACTATATAACTCCTTATTTCCCCTTATTTTCAATGCAGAAATGAATAACCCCATGTCATCCTACATTTCTTTATTTCTTTGATACAACACCCAATAATAACCTACACCTGCTTTGTCTTGAAATAATGCAGTCATCCCCTAATTAAAATGAAGTATCTGTCATAAAGGAGGTACTACCCATGGTGCCCAGATGTTATGTCAAGAGTATATGCCAGAGGCCCTCTCGGAAAAAAAAAAAAAAAAAAAAAAAAATCTCCAAAATATCTGTGAAGATCCCTGATACATGCCTGCTGCTATAGAATTCGAGAGGGACCAGTAAAATGTTGTATAATTCTTGTATAAAATGAACCTTCACTACAGACTGGGTGGCTTAAATAAATAATATGTTTATTTTCTCACAATTCCAAAGTCAAGGTGTCAGTAGGGTTGATTCCTTCTGTGGCCTCTCTCCTGGGCTTACAGATGTCTTCTCCGTGTACCTTCACATGGTCTGTTTTCTGTGTCTGTCTATACCTGAATCTCATCTTAAAAGGATTCCATTCATGTTAGATAAGACCCACCCTAATGCTGACATTTTAACTTGGTTACCTCTGTAAAGGCCCTATCTCCAAACAGTCACATTTGGGATACTGGGGGTTTGGAATTCAATGTATGACTTGTGAGGGGACACAATTTAGCCCATAACACTTGTAGCTGTGCAGCATATTGGCAGTAAATAGCAACTTGTGAGGTTGGCTACATAGTAACTGATTAACTAGATGAACTGCTAGTCTGTGGCCCAGATGTATACGAATATCATTCTCAGCTGTGAATGTCTTCAAACGGAGGACCTGAGTTGTCCAATATTCTTGTTCATTTTGAAAAGAAAATCCAGTAATAAGGATATTTATCAAAAACTGCCCAAACTTCAAATGTAAGTCACTACAGTGGAATTGCTATTTATAGGAGAACTGGCAAAGTTCAAGGTCAAGATGTGAGATGAAATAACACAATATGGCCGGGTGCGGTGGCTCACGCCTGTAATCCCAGCACTTTGGGAGACCGAGGCAGGTGGATCACCTGAGGTTAGGAGTTTGAGACCAGCCTGACCAACATGGAGAAACCTGGTCTCTACTAAAAATACAAAATTAGCTGGGCATGGTTGCACATGTCTGTAATCCCAGCTACTTGGGAGGCTGAGGCAAGAGAATCACTTGAACCCGAGAGGTGGACGTTGCAGTGAGCCGAGATTGCGCCATTGCACTCCAGCCTGGGCAACAAGAGCAAAACTCTATCTCAAAAAAAAAAAAAAAAAAAAAAAAAAGAAAGAAATAACACAATACATAAATATACCCAGTTACCCTTCAAAATCTCTGAAATTACTCTTACATTAGTGGATCCTGGGCCCATGAAAGCCCAAGAGCCAAGAAGTAGCTGTTTTATTCCTTCTTTGCATTTAGGCTGTGGTTGCCATTCATGAAGTTCTCAGATTTGTTTATTTTACTGATTTTATTTTATTTACTTTTGGCTAAATATATGTTTTTAATTTTTGTGAATTATATGTGTACTTAGTATGTTTGTGCTATAATTTGAAAATTTTAGAATATTGTTCAGGTAAAATTAAGGTGAATCTGGAGAACACGCTAGTGTGTATCTTTATTTCAGATAGAGGACACTGAGCTTAACACATCAAGCAGGGGTCAGGATCTAATACTTTTAATACAGTAACATTTATTCCTGCTTGTAATCCCAGCACTTTGGGAAGCTGAGGTGGGTGAATCACTTGAGGTCAGGAGTTCGAGACCAGCCTGGCCAATATGGCGAAACCCTGTCTCTACTAAAAATACAAAAATTAGCTGGGTGTGATAGCGCATACCTGCAATCCCAGCTACTCAGACGTTGAGGCATGAGAACTGCTTTAATCTGGGAGGCGGAGGTTGCAGTGAGCCGAGATCGTGCTACTGCACTCCAGCCTGGGCGACAGAGCAAGACTGTTCTAAGGATTTTTTCACTCTATGCTTCTCTACTTTTTCATTGAGATAGTTACAAAAAACTCATACCATTTCCTTAATCCTCTCTTGTCGTCTCAGAAGGCACCAGATTTACTGGAGCACTCACAAAGAATTCTAAAGACATAAAACCATGCATACATACAAACACACACACTCACACGTACATTTCAGTTGGATTGAAATATGATTTCCAGCATCTCTGCCATTCCAAAAATGGACACAAATCTTAGGTGAAAATAAAAAGACTTATTGGCATAAAGATAATAAAAGTTAGAAAGCACAAATATATTTTTCTTTTCTCAAAAGAGAGGTGAGTGAGTGGCTCCCAACTGTTCATATAAATAACTGTGTGTAAAATGAGCTTGTAGCCAGAAAGGGTAAAACATAGGTCAGAAAGAAGTTACAACTAACAGTGACAAAATGAAGATGGCAACATCATCCATAAAGACATTGACAGAAAAGTAGAAAAAAAATTCCATTCTATTCTAAGTAAAGCATTTACTGTCATTATCTTTTCTGTCAAAAAAAAAAAAGAGAGAGAGAAAGAAAGAAAGGAAAGCTTATCAGGAATTAAATGAGTATTTTACTTGCAAATAATTTCCCAGGTGTCTTTTTAAAATTATCAAAGTAATGTGTGCTTAGACTTTTTAAAATTTCAGAAACATTCAAATTCCTCTCTTCCATCACTTAATCCCATTCTTCAGAGTTAATCAAAATTTGCTATGTGTACCCAATAAGTTAATGCATATACAGAGTGATATACAACATACAGACAAATGGGCTAATAATAATAGTGCATGCTATTCTGCAACTTGCTGATTTTATTTAAAAAATAGACCGCCTTCTTTTCCGTGTACTTCTAGAGTTATAACAAATGTTTACCAATTGTATGTATGAATGGCAGCCAGCCCAATATTGATGACTGTTTAGATTGTTGCCATGGTTTTTACTGTGGTTGCAAAGGACATCCATGTACATGTGTTTTTGAGGACATATGTGAGAATTTCTGCATGTACATCTAAGACATTGATAAATTCTGCCAAGATAGCTTAATAGTGTATCCATTTATTCTCATTAGCTGTTTATCATAAGCACTTTTATTTGTATACTTTCTAATATGGATTTTAGCAGATGTGATTCCATTGTTTCCATTTTTATCACTTTGAGTGAACATCTGAGAGGGTGTGGATTTTTTTTTTAATATACTCTTCTTGTATGGAAGTCCATATCTGTTTGAAGACTGTAATATGGACAGGATCTTTGTTGTAAAATGTTTAAGAGGTTTTGCTATGTTGCCTCCATAGTAAATTAGAACATCCATTAATTCTGCCTTTGACCTTGATTACTCATGCAGTGCTTTTGCCCATGCGTTGCTCTATACCAGGGGTCTCCAACCCCCGTGGCGCCAGAACCTGTCTGTGGCCTGTGAGGACCTGGGCTGCACAGCAGGGGGTGAGTATGGGCAGATGAGCATGACGCTGGAGCTCCTGTCTGATCAGCAGTGGCAGTAGATTCTCATAGGAGTGCAAACCCTATTGTGAACTGCACGTGTGAGGTATCTAGGCTGTGTGCTTCTTACGAGAATCTAACTAATGCCTGATGATCTGAGGTGGACCAGTTTCATCCACAAACCACACCCCATCCCCATTGCCCTCATCTGTGGAAATATTGTCTTCCACAAAACCACTCCCTGGTGCCAAAAAGATTCAGGACTGCTGCTGTAGACTGCATAACTGGATTTTAGGATTCTACAAAGTCAGTATTTTGGGTATTATGCTTATTCACTTTAGAGACCTCAAAACTGTAATGAGCTGCAAAATTTTAACTCATTTGCTATGGTATTTGACTATAATTCTTCTATTTAAACCATATTGGTAATCTGTATTTATACAATAGCTTTCTCATATTCCAAAACAAAGATTTCTTTTTTATAAGCAACTTTGGATTTTGCTTTCATTTTTCCCTCCTTTCTTAGGTCAGTTTGTAAGCTATGTGTAGGATATAGCAGGTTAGATAGCTGAATTCATGACAGATAGCATGAAATACATACAATTTTTCATCCTAAAAATTTTGTAGTAATACCGCATTTCTTATTTTCTTATTTTTTTTTTAATTTTACTTTATGTTCTGGGCTACATGTGCTGAACGTGTAGGTTTGTTACATAGGTAAACATGTGCCATGGTGGTTTGCTGCACCCGTCAGCTCATCATTTACATTAGGTATTTCTCCTAATGCTATCCCTTCCCTAGCCCCCCACCCCCTGACAGGCCCCAGTCTGTGATGTTCCCCTCCCTGTGTCCATGTGTTCTCATTGTTCAATTCCCACCTATGAGTGAGAACATGCGGGGTTTGGTTTTCTGTCCTTGTGACAGTTTGTCAGAATGATGGTTTCCAGCTGCATCCATGTCCCTGCAAAAGACATGAACTCATCCTTTTTGTACACCATGGAATACTATGCTGAGTTGTATTTTATGGCATGGATGCAGTGTTTTTTTCTGTTCCTGTGTTGGTTTGCTGAGGATGATGGTTTCTAGTTTCATCCATATCCCTGCAAAGGACATGATCTCATTCTTTTTTATGGTTGCATAGTATTCCATGGTGTATATGTGAACAGCTCCTGCATTCATTGATTTTTTGGAAGGGTTTTTCATGTCTCTGTCTCCTTCAGTTCTGCTCTGATCTTAGTTAGTTCTTGTCGTCTTCTAGCCTTTTTTTTTTTTTTTTTTTTTTGAGATGGAGTCTCACTCTGTAGCCCAGGCTGGAATACAGTGGCGTCATCTCCACTCACTGTAACCTCTACCTTCCAGGTCTCAGTTCAAGCAGTTCTCCTCCCTCAGCCTCCCGAGTAGCTGGAATTACAGGCACACGCTACCATGCCCAGCTAATTTTTGTATTTTTAGTAGAGACGGGGTTTCACCATGTTGGCCAGGCTGGTCTTGAACTCCTGGCTTCAAGTGATCCACCCACCTCAACCTTCCAAAGTGCTGGGATTAGAGGAGTGAGCCACCATGCCTGGCCTTTTAGCTTTTGAATTTCTTTTCTCTTGCTTCTTTAGTTCTTTTAATGGTGATGTTAGGGTGTCAATTCTAGATCTTTCCCTCCTTCTGATGTGGGCATTTAGTACTATAAATTTCCCCCTTGACACTACCTTAGCTGTGTCCCAGTGATTCTGGTACATTGTCTCTGTTCTCATTGGTTTCAAAGAACTTTGTTATTTCTGCCTTAATTTCATAACTTACCCAGTAGTCATTCAGGAGCAGGTTGTTCAGTTTCCAGAAACTGCAACTAATGTGCAAAATAACCAGCTAGGATCATGAATGCAGGAACAAATTCACACGTAGTAGTATTAACCTTAATTGTAAATGGCTTAAATGCCCCAATCAAAAGACACAGACTGGCAAATTGGATAAAAAGTCAGTACCCATCAGTGTGCTGTATTCAGGAGACCCTTCCCATGTGCAGAGACACACAGGCTCAGAATAAACGGATGGAGGAATATTTACCAAGCAAATGGAATGCAAAAAAAAAGGAGAGTTTGCGATCTTAGTCTGATAAAACAGACATTAAACCAACAAAGATCAAAACAGACAAAGAAAGGCATTACATAATGGTAAAGGGATCAATACAACAAGAAGAGCTAACTATCCTAAATATATATGCACCCAATACAGCAGCACCCATATTCATAAAACAACTTCTTAGAGGCCTACAAAGAGACTTAGACTCCCACACAATAATAGTGGGAGACTTTACCACCCCACTGTCAGTATTAAACAGACCAATGAGGCAGAAAATTAACAAGGTTATTCAGGACTTGAACTCAGCTCTAGACCAAGCGGTCCTAATAGACATCTATAGAACTCTGCACCCCAAATCATTCTTCTCAGCACCACATAGCACTTGTTCTAAAATTGACCACATAATTGGAAGTAAAACACTCCTCAGCAAATGCAAAAGAACAGAAATCATAACAAACAGTCTCTCAGACCACAAGGCAATCAAATTAGAACTCAGGATTAAGACAGAGGATTCTTTTCTTTTCTTTTCTTTTCTCTTCTCTTCTCTCTTTGTTTCTGTCTCTTTCTTTCTTTCTTTTTCTTTCTTTCCTTCTTTCTTTCTTTTTCTGTCTTTCTTTCTTTCCCTCTCTCTCCTTCTCTCTCTCTCTCTTTCTTTCTTTCTTTTTTTTGTTTTAATGGAGTCTCTGTCGTCCAGGCTGGATGGAGTGCAATGGTGCAATGTCAGCTCACTGCAACCTCAGCCTCCCAGGTTCAAGCGATTCTCTTGCCTCAGCCTCCCAAGTAGCTGGGATTACAGGCTCCTGCCACCACCCCTGGCTAATTTTTTGTATTTTTAGTAGAGTCAGAGTCAGGGTTTCACCATGTTGGCCAGGCTGATCTTGAACTCCTGAGCTCAAGTGATCCACCCACCTCAGCCTCCCAAAGTCCTGAGATTACAGCCGTGAGCCACCTCACCTCGCCAACATTTCTGATTTTCAGTGGTTACTTTCCATTTAGTGACTGAGTATGAAGATATTTTAGGAGATTCAAACCTTTAAAAAATTTTTTAAAAAAATCTATTTATAGCAAATATCTGTACAACCTTTCTCCAGAGTCCCCAACTGTTAACACTTTGCCACATTTGCTTTATCTTTCTTTGTCTCCCTCACTCACACCTTCCCCTCCTTCCTTTCCTCTGTCTCTCAAGAAGCTAAACATAATTGCAGATAGACTGACATTTTGTTCCTAAACACTTCAGCCTATATCTACAAAGGCAAAGGGCAATCTTCTGTGTAGCCGCTGTAATGTGTGATGTAAATTTCAAGGAATTTAACATCGATACAATGATATTTCTTTTGTAGTCCATATTCAAAGATCCTCCCAATTGTTCCCAAATTGTCCTTTATAGCTTTTTTAAGCCTTTATTTATTTATTTTTTAGCAGTTTTAGGTTCACATCATAGAGAGGAAGGTATTTCCCATCTACTCCCTGCCCAAATGTGCCCATACCCTCTCCATTATCAACATCCCCCACCAGAGCGGTACATTTTTTGCAGCTGATAAACCTAAATTGACACATTGTAATCACTTCACATTTATAGCTTACATGAGGGTACACTCTTGGTGTACACTCTGTGGGTCTGGACAAATGTATAATGATATTTATCCATCAACATAGTATCACCCTGAGTATTTTCACTGCCTTAAATATTCTCTGTGCTGTCTCTATTCATCCCTCCGTCATCCCTCAGTCCCTGGCAACTACTGATATTTTCAATGTCTCTATAGTGTTGCCTTTTTCCGAATGTCGTATAATACAACATGTGGCCTTTTCAAATTGGAATCATACAAGATGTAGCCTTTTCAAATTGGTTCTTTCACTTGGTAATATGCACTTAAGGTTCCTCCATGTCATTTCCTGGCTTGATACTTCATTTCTCTTTAGTGCTCAATAATTTTCCATGATCTGTATGTCTGATACTTTATCCATTCACCTGATGAAGAACATGTTGGTTGCATTGAATTTTGGCAATCCTGAATAAAGCTGCTGTAAACATCTGTGTGCAGGCTTTTGTGTGGACATGATTTTAGTTTTCAACTCCTTTGGGTAAATACTCCAGGTATTGCTGCATTGTGTGGTTATAGTATGTTTAGTTTTGTAAGAAACCACCAGATTTCCAAAGTGACTATACCGTTTTGCATTCCCAGTAGCAATGAACGAGAGTTCTGTTATTCCACGTCCTCACCAGTATTTGGTGTTGCCTTTGTTCTGGGATTTATTCTAATTGGTGTGTAGTGGTATCTTGCGTTAATTTGCTGCTCCCTGAGGACATAAGATGTGGAGCCTACTTCTTTGCCATCTCTGTATCTTCTTTGGTGAGGTATCTGTTAAAGCCTTTGGCCCTTTTTTAATGTTTGTTTATTTATTTACTGATGAGTTTTAAAGGTTGTTTGTATGCTTTGGATAATTTTTTTAAATTATTCTGACCAAAAGTTTAGTCAAATATACAGATCACATTCAGTTATCATGTATCTTTATTTTGCTTTAGTATAGAACAGTCTTCTCACACACACCTAATTTGCACCTTCAAAAATTTGAATTGTAAGGGTCAGTTGTTTGCAGAATTATCCTGCAACCTCGATTTGTTTTATTGTCTCCTCATTGCTAAATTTGGGTTAAACTTTGTTGTCGTTAATGCTGAATCCTTTGTAACTGACAATGCCCGTGTGAATCTTAGTTACAGTGATGCCTGCCGAATCTCCCATTGCAGAAATAACCCTCCTCTTTTGAAATTATTAGGGAATCTGTGGGCAGATACTTGGAAACTGCCAAAATCCCGATTCCCACCAATCTTGGATCCATTTGCTGTAGCTTCTACTGGTGATCCTTGAGTGAATTAATTATTATATCAGTGCCTTCAAAAATATGATTGTCTGTGCCGACAGTTCTTGCCATATTTATTCTGTTGTTCTGTATGGAAGAACTCTTTCTTACTCCTCACACGTATACTTTTTAATATTATCATATATTCATGGATTTTTTCTTTAATGTATTATAACCTGTTATCAATCTATTCTTTTTTGTATTTATATTTTCCCAAACTTGGCCAGTGGGACCTCATTTGTCATAGAACATAGGGTATTGGTTGAATAAACTATGATTTATCCACACGTGAGGTTACTGTATGGTTGTGAAAAATAATAAGGAAATGTGTATATACTACTGTAGAATTAATTGTAGGGGAAATTAAGCGAAAAAAGTATATAACATGCTATCAATTATCTAAGAGAGGTGCTTAAATACACACACACACACACACACAGACACACACACACACACCAGCTTCTGTTAGAGGTAAAGCAGAAATCTAAAAACAAACAAAAAGATAGTGAATATATTAAACAGACAAAAGTAGAAGTGAGACATCTTTGACAATTTTATGTTTTTAAAGTTTGACTTTAGAAACTTGAAAATATTTTCCATAATTATAAAACAGAATTAAATATTTTAAATAGAAAGTTCTAAGAATAAAAAATAAAGTCAAAAAAATGAATGCAAGTATCTTTAGTTGTAATCATAGCCACATTATTCCAAGTGACTTTAGAATACAGCAGTTTGACTATACATCTTTAATGAGGTACATCCCAAGACAAAAAGAACTACAAGCAGAAAAACTTAAACTATGATTAGTAATCAATTTAATGGTATCATTCACATTGTGTATATAATGTAGTCTAAAATAATGAGTAATTATGTGACATCTAATCATTTCATTTTCACGATTTTGAACAAGAGAAAAGAAGATTAAGATGGAAGACGAAGGAGATTATTTAAAACCCTCTACTCCTCGGTTTGAATGGGAAATATCAGATTGAACTCGTGATGTATTTTATCTTTAAAAAACGAACAAAACATACCTCTTGTCACTGAAAAAGCTGACAGACGTTTATGAATCCACTAGCAATGAGTATCTCTAACCATCCACATCGTCATCTTTAAATGCCATTTTTATTTGTCAAAATGATTTATTACAGGTCTAGAACAAAAAGTGTTCAAAGCAGACTGGAGTCTCTTGTCATACAGGATGGCAGGGAAGCTACCAAAGACTCTTGCGCCTCTGCCACAGTTCAGGATCCCATTCTAAGATGTGCCAATTAGCTATAGATAACCACCAATCAAAATAATAAGTACAATCGATGGACATCATTAATATGTGTGTGTCTGTAATTTCGTTTTTTTTTTTTGAGACGGATTTTCACTCTTGTTACCCAGGCAGGAGTGCGATTGTGTGGTCTTGGTTCACTGCAACCTCTGCTTCCCAGGTTCAAGCAATTCTCCTGCCTCAGCCTCCCAAGTAGCTGGGATTGCAGGCATCCGCCACCACGCCTGGCTAATTTTTGTATTTTTAGTAGAGACAGGGTTTCACCATGTTGGCCAGGTGGGTCTCAAACTCCTTATCTCAAGTGATCCACCTGCTTTGGCCTCTCAAAGTGCTGGGATTACAGGCATGAGCCTCGCACCCGGCCTTTTCTATAATTTTTTAATAATGCTTTTAAAAATTGCATTTTTATTCATTGCTAGAGTCAACTTATTTTGAAAATGTATAAACCAAGAAAATAATAGAGCATTTATTCTGCCTTCCTATACAAAATTTATCTCTGAGTAACAAAATAGCTATTGAGGGAAAATTTATCTTGATAGAAATATGTTATCTAATAGTTTGAGAAGAAGTGATAATATTAAAAGATCACCATTTTACAATTTTAGCGTATCTTCCATAAAGAAGATACACTACAGCCAAATGTAGTCAGACTCAGGCATAGTCACATAGTGCTTCCTTCTTGAAGAACAAAGCAGCACCCTTACAGGAATCCCAGCAAAACATATTAAGCCTAAACCTAGTCAAGCCTGTAGAATCAAATATAACTTTTTTTTTTTTTTTTTTTTTTGAGACAGAGTCTTGCTCTGTCGCCCAGACTGGAGTGCAGTGGTGCAATCTCCACTCACTGCAAGCTCCACCTCCCAGGTTCACACCATTCTCTTGCCTCAGCCTCCCGAGTAGCTGGGACTACAGGCACCTGCCACCACACCCGGCTAATTTTTTGTATTTTTAGTAGAGACGGGGTTTCACCATGTTAGCCAGGATGGTCTCGATCTCCTGACCTTGTGATCCGCCTGCCTCGGCCTCCCAAAGCGCTGGGATTACAGGCGTGAGCCACTGTGCCTGGCCACAAATATAAAATTTTCTATAATAAGGACAATGAAGAAACTTGTTCAGTAATACCACCCATATGCAACTGGCAAAATTTAGATTATGAGAAATTCTACAATGGATTAACCCATTTTTCTTCAAATTTAATTGTAAAAACAGGAAGAGAGATGGGTGAGGGAACTTGTAAAAGCAACTGAAGAGAAAATGTTGTGAAATTAGAGAGTGTTGATGGCTGCACAACCTTGCAAATATTCTAAACACTGCTGAATTATACACTTTAAAAGGGAGAACTACAATATATTAGTTATGTCTTAATAAAAAAACATTGAACGCCAGGCACAGTAGCTCAGGCCTGTAATCCCAACACTTTGGAAGGCTGAGGCAGGCAGATCACTTGAGCCTAGAAGTTTGAGACCAGCCTGGTCAACATGGCAAAACCCTGTCTGTATGGCATATACAAAAAATTAGCTGGATGTAGTGGCACATTCCAGTTGTCCCAGCTACTGGGGAGGCTGAGGTTAGGAATCCCCTGAGCCCTGGAAGCCGAGACTGCAATGAGCCCTGATCATGCCTGCACTCCAGCCTGAGTGACAGAGGGAGACCTGGTCTCACAAAATAAATAAATAAATAAATACATTAATAAATTAATAAATTAATTAATTAAATTACAAGAAGATATAATATACATTCCTTCCAGTCCCAAAATATGGACTTGTTTGGATCTCGATTCAAACAGATTTGGAAAAAATTAAAATTATGGACACATAAATATTTGATGCCATTAAATGCTTATTTGTAATTTTTCAGTTCCTCTAATGGTATTCTAGTTAGGTTTTATAGGAAAATTCCTCCTTCGTAGAGATACATATGGATCATTTTTGTTGAGTAAATAATATGATATCTGAGATTTGCCTCAAAATAATATAGGAAGGGAAAGTGGGTAGTGATATTGATAATATCATTTATCCATGATAATTCATACTGATAAAACAAGGTTGGACTCAAGTTGATAATTGTTGAATAAGGTGATGAATAGATATACATGGGTCTCATTATTCTGCAACTTCTGGATAGGTGAGTAATTTCCCCTCAATGAATTGGATTTTTTAAAAATTCATAAGTACATTTTGTTTCCTTTATTTCAACTCCAACATCATGAAGCTCCTTCTCACCTTCTTCAGCCACTGTGAAAAACTCGGTTTCCAAAAACATCAGTAAGTTTAGTAATTTTTCATCTTAACATAAATACAAATAGTTTCTGAATTCCTACACCTATATCATACCAGTAATCAACTTAGTAAATAAAGTACAAAATTTCTTTTGGGTTCCTTTTTTTGTACTAAAGGATATACAGAGCACTGTGTCCAAAAGTTACTTGAACTACTTTTATTTATGTACTGACATTGTCAGCTCAATATGTTTCTGGTAATTTTCAGTTTTAGAGTTTGCTTTTTTTCTCCTTTTTATTTAGTAAGTATTGTTGTGATTTTGTGAAACATTTTCTGTGCCTCACACCTGAAACTGTAGATAGTCACGTTAGGGAAACATGGCTCCCATTCGATCCCTTTAACCCATTTCCCTACTCCCTCATAGGTAACCATTTTCACTAACTTCGATTTTCCTTTCTACGTTTCCTTTTACAAAAACAGCTACTTTTGTATGTACTTAATTTTCTTTGCTTTTGACATAGAAAGTCCCTTACTATATTCTATTTTCTGCTTTGTTTTCTTTTTTCTTCACAGATTGTACTTGTCTTCTATGGTCAAGCATTTCACTTGTTTCTGAAAATTTTTTTTCCTTTTTTTTTTTTTTTTTTTTCAGACACAGGCTTACTCTGTCACCCAGGCTGGAGTGCAGTGGCCCGATCTAGGCTCACTGCAACCTCCGCCTCCCGGCTCAAACGAGTATCCTGCCTCAGCCTCCCAGCCTGTAGCTGGGATTACAGGCACGCACAACCACACCCGGCTAATTTTTGTATTTTTAGTAGAGACCAGGTTTTGCCACGTGTGCCAGGCTGGTCTTGAACCCCTGACCTCGGGTGATCTGCCCACCTCAGCCTCCCAAAGTGCTGGGATTACAAGCATGAGCCACCGCACCCAGCCCATAATTTTCTATTATAAATAATCCCACAGTAAACACCTTGCGCAGATGTTGTTTTGCAATCGCGGAGGTATATGATTTTGAGTGTTAATCGCAACCATTGGAATTTGGGAAGCGTGGCATAAACTCGCATGTGGTTCTGTTGGGTAGTGCTGACCTCCCCGACGTGCCTGAGTTTCCGGGTCAGCTTCATCAAGAGCGTGTGTTGTTAAGCTCTCAAACCCTGACCCCAGTAATTCTATACAGCGTATTCCATGGCTTTAAAAACATTAATTTAATTCTGTCAAATAAAATATATATATTTTAAAGTGTTCATAATATTTATCACAACTAGTAATAAAATAATACTTAAAGAAAAAAGAAGTGATACTTGAGGCATTTCTTGCAATGTTGACAATATAAAACACAATTTTAAAGTGGGTTTAATGGGCATAGCTTTGGTGATCCGATATCCTTTGTATTCATGAAAGAGGGAACCCAGAGAAGTGAAATCCCGACCCTACATGCTCAAACAGCACTGTCCTCTGCTCTTCAAAACTAAATCACTTACTGCAGTTGCTGGCATGTAGCCAAACCGAGTGATTCCTGAGCGGTCCCCCCTCCCGCCCCCTATGGAGCCCCTCTGGTGTAGGATCCTCATGAGCAGCAGAAAGGTCTCAGGCCTGTGGTGGGAGGGACATGGAGGTGACAAGGCCCAGGCCTGCACTGGCTAATTAGTGTGGGGCTAATTGACCTTTCACAGTAATTGTATTGCCTGCCTTTGGGAACCAGAGAAGGGGCCTTTCAGTATCTTTACACAGCATAATATTTTTGATCATAATGAAAATCAGTCATAAGAAATGTGAAATAAATTGAAAGGCTAAATCACAAATATTCATCTTTTAGAAGTCCCCCTTTTTTTAAATGAAGGATCAGTTTGAAAGGATAGTTTCTGTTCTCATCCAATTAATATAAATTGGCATTTAGTGTTCATTGAAAACTATGGAGGGGAACTGGAGTTCAAGTGAAAAAATATCACTGGGAACAATTCCCTTTTTGATTATTCTGACTTACTGTGAACATCTCTGGCTCATCTTGTCTTGAAACACATTTCATTGTTAGCAGTGACCAAACAAAATAGTTCTTAGCCATTACATTAAAAAACACCTTTAAATAACACCTTTTTTTTTTTTTTTGAGACGGAGTCTCGCTCTGTCACCCAGGCTGGAGTGGACTGGTGCGATCTTGGTTCACTGCAACGTCCACATCCCAGGTTCGAGAGATTCTCCTGCCTCAGCCTCTCAAGTAGCCAGGATTACAGGCTTGTGCCACCACGTCTGGCTAATTTTTTTTAATGTATTTTTAGTAGACACGGGTTTCACTACATTGGCCAGGCTGGTCTCAAACTCCTGACCTCAAGTGATCTGCCCTCCTTGACCTCCCAAAGTGCTGGGATTACAGACGTGAGCCACTGCATTCGGCCTAACTTATTAAATCATTGCCGTTTTGTCTTTTCTTGGCATAGAAAATACGTTATTAAAAACTGTGATGGGCTTCCAACCACATCTGCTTAAAGCCAGGTGCAGTGGCTCAGGCCTGGAATCCCAGTGTTTGGGAGTCCAAGGCAGGAGAATCATTTATGCCCAGGAATTTGAGAATTTGAGACCAGCCTGGGCAGCATAAGTGAGATCCCATCTCTACAAAAAAAAAAAAAAAAAAAAACTAGAAAATTAGCTAGGTGTAGTGGCGTGTGCCTGTAGTCTCAGCAACTCAGGAGGCTGCCATAAGAGGATCACTTGAGTCTGGGAGTTCGAGGCAGCAGCGAGCCTTGATCATGCCACTGCACTCCAGCCTGGGCTGTAACAGAGTGAGACCCTGCCTTAAAAAAAAAAAAATCTGTTTGTTAGAAGTTATTTTCAGAAGAAGCAAAAAATAGAAAGAATGCCAAGATTGTTCAGCACAAAAAAGGACAATTTAAGGTGTTATTAAAAGTGTGTCTTCAAAGTTATTTAAGAAAGAACTCAATGTAAAAATGTTTTAACATTAGAATCTGTTAACACTATTGATTTTTAAATTAGTCTGATCATTCTTGGCTGATTGTATTCCTTTTCTAGATAGAAAATGTAGTCTATTAAAAATCCAAATAAAAATCAGAAATGTTCAGTCTTTAAAATGTAAAGTTATTACACATTAGAAAGTTTGACAGCCTTCCACTGAAATGATTTTTTTCCCATAAGTTATTGGGGTACAGATGGTATTTGTTTACGTAAGTTAGTTAGTGGTGATTTGTGAGATCCTGGTGCACCCAACACTCAAGCAGTACCTACTGCACCATATATGTTGTATTTTATCCCTCACTCCCCTCCCACCCTTTCCCCTACGTCCCTGAAGTCCATTGTATCATGCTTATGTCTTTGTGTCCTCATAGCTTAGCTCTCATCTATCAGTAAGAACATACAATGTTTGGTTTTCCATCCCTGAGTTACTTCACTTAGAATAATAGTCTCCAATCCCATCCAGATTGCTGTGAATGCCATTAATTCATTCCTTTTTATGGCTGAGCAGTATTCCATCATATACCACGATTTCTTTATCCACTCATTGATTGGTGGACATGTGGGTTGGTTCCACGATTTTGCAATTGTGAATTGTGCTGCTATAAACTTGCGTGTGCAAGTATCTTTTCTGTATAATGACTTCTTTTCCTCTGGGTAGATACCCAGTAGTGGGATTTCTGGATCAAATGGTAGTTCTGCTTTTAGATTCTCTAAGGAATCTCCACACTATTTTCTGTAGTGGCTGTACTGGTTTACATTCCCACCAGCAGTGTAGAAGTGTTCCCTGATCACCGCATCCACACCAACATCTACTGTTTTCGATTTTTTTATTATGGCCACTCTTGCAGGAGTAAGATGGTATCGCATTGTGGTTTCGACTTGCCTTTCCCTGATCACTAGTGATATTAAACATTATTTCATATGTTTGTTGGCCATACACTGAAATGATTTTAAGCATTTTGTATGAGGAAATAGAGTTTAACAGATTTAGAAGGAACTGAAAATGAATGAATGATACTGAAGATATTGAAGACAGCCCTACCTACTTTACAGACCATAGACAGTGGTACAGTAAGTATGCCAATGAGTATAGACTGATCAGTATGCTGATAAAAGCACACTGGCTGGGCACTTCTGCCAACATGTCTACTTATGTCGTGAGCACAGAGAGGTGGACAATCCAAGGTGGGATGTTTGAAATAGAGCATTGGGCTCAGAGCCAGAAAACTGAGGCTGCAGGCCTGGCTCTTTCATTTCCCAATTATGCATCAGACTTGACTTGGGTAAGTTACTAACGCCATCTGGAATGTTTCCTCACTTCTAGGTATGTGCTTAAAGGATCATAGAGTCATTCAGTAGACACAGGGGAGTGTGTTTTATGAACAGGTCCCTACAGTAGGTACTACAGACACAGTTGCAGTATTTTTTCTTAAAGACGGTATTGTCTGGTAACAGAGAGCAACGCATACAAAGAAACTACAATACGACGTGATAAGTGCAGTCTTCCCTGGGGTGACGGGATCTCCAGAGGTACAGACTTTACCTTGAGCCAGCACCAGCATCCGGAGTCTGCGAGGTGTGTTACCAGCTCACCTATACCATCTTCTTTTCACTTTCCATACTCTCACTGATTCCTCTGCAACCCACTTGTTCTTACTTTCATCCTTTTTGTTTGTTTTGTTTTGTTTCCTCTTTAAAATCACACTGGACTAATCTTTACTTTGCTACCTCCTATACAGCCCCGTCCCAGATCCTGTCTTCTCATGTTTTTAACATTTCAGCTATCTGGCTCTTCTCTGAATCATTCCTTCGTACCTGGGGTGGTTCCGTTGCAGCATCCAAACCCTGGTCTTCACCATGGGCCCCTGTAGACTTGTCCTAGTTTGTCTGCCTCATCCAAGTCTCCACTTCCTCTCAGCAGAGTCAATGAACACCAGCAGAGGAGTCGATGGCCTGGGTTCCTACCCTGGCTTCACACTCGGGAGCTGGGTGTTGTTGAACCCATCGTGAACTTCTCTGTGGCTCCCCTTTGTCTTCTATAAAGTGGAATCAACAGCAACCACAATAAGTAATCTGTAAAACAGCATTATCTGTGCCAGGCACAGTTCTCTTGGATTTACACACTATTTCTAGCTCTGTTTACACACTAACTTTATGTATGTTGTCTTGTATTCTTTGTCTTGCTATAACAAAATACCTGAGACTGGGCAATTTATAAAATTCTGAAAGCTGGGAAATCCAAGGTCAAGGTGTTGGTATTCAGTGTCTGGTGAGGGCCTTCTTGTTGTGTCTTCACTTGCTGGAAGAGGGGAAGAGCTAAAAGGGCAAAAAGGACAGAAAGTCACTTGCACTGCCTTATAAGGGCACTAATCCCATTCATGAAGGCTCTGCCCCATCATGATTTAATCACCTTCTAGAGGCTCCACCTCTTCATGCAATCACATTGATGGTTAAGTTGAAACAAATAAATTTTGAGGACACATTGAGACATAGCAGATGGTGATAGTTATTCCCTCATCAGAGTGTGAGAATAATAAATAATTTATTATGTCTCAAAACCTGTAATGGTCTGCAATATACGGCTAAGTATATTCTATATGTTTTTTATTATTAACATAACTATTTTCATAACTCCTGAAAACAATGTATTAATAATGTGGTATTGTTAACAATTTTAGAATCTCATTATTAATCATTTTAGAGATGATATTTGTAACTCTTTATTAAGTGCTTGGAAGAATCTGAAATATTTGGATCTTAACTATGTGCCGTTGAAGGAACTTCTTTTTGGAAAAAGAAAAATACATCAGTTTTTTGTATATTATTGGATAATGTCCAACCAGATGAGAGTTGATCATTGTTTGGCAAAAAAAACTCCCATGGATGTTTTGTTAATACTGGTATGTTTCCATGTCAAGGATCCTATAGACAGAAAGCCCAAGATACTGATCCCTCAGTCTCCCATGGGTCATCAGCTGTGCTTGACAGTGTAAGACCAAACCCGGTTACAGAAATACCTACTTGGTTTGTCTACACTGAAGAATTTGTTACTGCCTTACTTGTTGGATTAATATATTGTTATAAAAAAAGAAAGAATTGTATTAAGGGTTTTCTCTTTGACAGGTAATATTTTATTTATTGGAGAAACAAAGATAAATAAGACATTGTTTCTGCTCTAAGGTAGCCTGAAACCATATTGGAGCACTCTGATGTCTTCCCACCGAAAATCTCTTTCTTCCCACATCTGAGGAATTTTTTTGTATACTAGGAGAACTAAGTAGTATTTGGGGCTTTTGCGTGGCTGTACAACTGGACTGTATCCAATGTACTGTCCATGGAATGTGGCTTTGAACTGAACCAGTGTGGTGTGTGAGTCCACTGTCTGTCAAAGGCACCGCTTCTGGAACCAAGAAGATTTTCTGTAAGAGTCAAAGATTAAGCAATTAATGATTTCAGAAACAGGGATGCCAACTGAGGGAAATGCGTCCTATAAGTATCACTGTAACTACTGAAATCTGTTTGAGAACTTTCTTTTCCCCTTTGCAGCTGTACCCTGAGCATTAGGAAAATCTGGATTTGAAATCTTTTAGATTTCATCAACATTTGTCACATTTTACCTGTCCCTGAAAATTCACTCAGGTTCTTCACGTGTTTCATGGCATCTGGCTATATGGTGATATAGGAATTATTTTTTTGTATCGATTTTTAGTTCACAGAAAGTTGGAATGCTACCAGAGAGATTGTCACATTGATAGCTTCTGCTTATTCTGCCTTCTCTGTATATTTTCCAAACAGAAGTGTGCAGCTAAACAGAATTCTGACACCTTATTCATGTACAAGATTAGGGACCCATCCTCTTTAGTTTTCTGAAACTCATAAATGGTAACAATACTACCAACGATGTATCATTGCGGATCGGGATCTGAGCTCTTTACATTTCCTTAAATCTTCAAAACAGCCTTCAAAGTTGATATATTATTGTCAATGGCAGAAAGCTGGGAAAGGAAGAATCATTTGCCAAAATTCATACAGCTAATAAATTATGTAGAGCTTGAGTCCGTTTGACTTTAAATTCTGTGTCCTTTCTTTCTTGTTCTGCTGGTTCCCTCTGTGGCACTTTGGGCACTGAGCTTATGACTGTTTATATTCATTGATTCATTCACTCCTTCATTCTTTCTTACTTCCCTTCAGTCATTCACTTTTTCAAACTTTTAGAATTCATAGATATGTTTCTACATCTCCTGGCTCCAAAGCACTGTGTGAGGTGTTCTGATGAATGCTACTATGGCCAAGTTGCTGCTCTCAAGTATTTCTAAAATAAGTTGGAAGATAAGACTCAGACACAGACACACACACACACACACACACACACACACACACACAATATATATGTATATACTGTCCAAGCTCTAACCACTGCAATAAGAAGAGCACAGTAAGCAAAGATTTTTAGATTCAGATGAGGGAGAAAGGTGTTACTTTTCTCTAGGAGGATCACAGGAAGTAACTGAGTCCTGAACATGGAAAGGTAGGGAAAAAATGTGGATAGAAACCTCAAGATAGGCTAGGGTGCTAATTCTCCACTTTTCCTTCTGTGGCAAAGCTCACATGCTCCTGTGCAAGTCCTTGAGTATACTCGGATCCTGATGCCCATTTCTCTGAAACGACTTAGGCTAGAGGCTGTGCACAGCTGGAGGAGTGCTGCCTGACACGGAGCTGATCATGGACAGTGATAGCTTGTCCAAATAGAATGGAAAATAGAGGACTGTCTGCCATTATTGATTAGAGGACAAGCAGAAATCTCAGTGCCATAAAAGTATGCCATCTTCTCATGTGCCTACAGGTCAGCGAGGGTGCCCGCGGCCTCAGGCTGGCTTCAGCTGCGGGTCCCTGCTTCATGCTGTGAGTGTGGCTGCACTTGGTCACCTCAGTGGGTTGGACTCAGGTCTGGGCCATGTGTGAACAGGTAGAAGCTTTCTGGGAAGTTCTGTTTTTTGCAACGGAGTCTTGCTCTGTGCAGTGCAGTGCAGTGGTGAGATCTCAGGTCACTGCAACCTTCGCCTCCTGGGTTTAAGTGATTCTCCTGCCTCAGCCTCTTGAGTAGCTGGGATTACAGGCACGCACCACCATGCCCGGCTAATTTTTATCTTTTTAGTACAGACGGGGTTTCACCGTGTTGGCCAGGCTGGCCTTGAACTCCTGACCTCAAGTGATCCGCCCACCCCAGTCTCCCAAAGTGCTTGGATTATAGGGGTGAGCTACTGTGCCTGGCAGGGATGTTCTTTTGATGGACCTTAGCAGCGGGACAAATATAAGGCCCTGGTTCAACCACATCTGCTAACATCCCTTTGGCCAAAGCCATTCATGTGGCTGGACACAGATTGCAGGGAGGAAGTGGGGAGCATGATGTATGCGCACTAATGTACAGGCGTGCATGATTTTGAAGAATAGTTTAATCTGCCACATGTATCATATAGGAGGGGTAAGGAAGATGAAAAATCAAATCTAGATCATGATTTAGAAAGGAAAAAAGTACAAACACACTTGAAGAACATGGGAGATGTTACAGTCCATTTTACAAGTAATACTGAGACACTTTAGAAAGATTATGTAGCACACACCCAGAATTCTTGTATGTATTGGACTGGAGTATGGCGATATCAGATGTGGGGAGTAATTACAAAGCTATTATCATGAGGAAGGCCTAAAACGGGGAGGTGACTATTGAGATGTAAAAGAGTTGAAGATGTGAAGGGTAATTCTGAGACAGAATTGCTAACTGTTGGTGCCTTGCCGATGTCAAAGATTAGGTAGGAGGAATTCAAGATAGTGATTCTCTTGCAGCCCGTTACAAAACATGGGAGGATAATGAGATTTTTAGGTGGGAGGGGAAGGCTCGAAGCGGGTGATGTGGGGGATGGTTTTTCCTTTGACAGAAACTGGGAAGTCATGCAGGGGAGCACTTCAGGTCAGAGAATGATGCACAGTGGCCTCTGCTGAGTAGGAGCAGTCCTAGGGAGAGACTGGGAGCTCTGAGAATGGGGAGGGGCACAGGGCCTGGGGATGAGACGGAGCCCCAGGGTGTAAGAGTAGAGAAGAGGTTGGAATGGGATTTAAGGACGAAGGGTGTCCTGGTGCCCTCCTGGGTGGAGGAGGCAGATTCTAGCCATTGTATTTGGGGTCAGGGGTGTTGGTGAGTGCTGGGCACCACTGTTCGAGGGACATTGATGGTGAGGGCAACAGAAGAGCTTGAGAAAGCAGCAGGGAAGGGCATCATTCATCGCTATGAGTTATGGATGCATTTCACTTGAGTGTTCTTGGAGCATTCCTAAAATGACAATGGCAAGAGGTATTTGAAAGGCATTGGTTTATTTGTATTTAATTTAATTTAATTTTATTTTTTGAGACAGAGTCTCTCTCTCTGTTGCCCAGGCTGGAGTGCAGTGGCATGATCTTGGCTCACTCCAACCTTCGCCTCCCAGGTTCAAGCAATTATCTTGTTTCAGCCTCCCAAGTAGCTGGGATTACAGGTACATGCCACCAAAGCCGGCTAATTTTTTTTGTATTTTTAGTAGAGATGGGGTTTCACCATTTTGCCCTGGCTGGTCACAAACTACTGGCCTCAAGTGATCCGCCCGCCTTGGCCTCCCAAAGTGCTGGGATTACAGGTGTGAGCCACTGCGGCCGGCCACATCGATTTACTGAGAGAGTAAGGTCCTTGCTGTGTCTTAAGAGGGTAGCAAGCATATGAGTAACTGCTTCTATGTAGTAGATATTATTTTTTGGTTGGGGGGGTGGGGGTGGCGTTCAAGTGATCCTCCTGCCTCAGCCTCCCGAGTAGCTGGGATTACAGGCGCACGCTAACACGCCCAGCTAATTTTTGTATTTTCAGTTGAGATGGGGTTTTGCCATGTTGGTCAGGCTCTTCTCGAACTCCTGACCTCAGGCTATCCACCCACCTAGGCCTCTCAAAGTGCTGGGATTAGAGGCCTGAGCCACCGCGGCCGGCCCTATGTAGTAGATATTCTGAAACTAGAATTCCATTTAGGGTAGCCTAGTTCTTGTGCTAGCAAATAATCTGACTTTTAATTTTTATGCTACAAAATGTTAAAGTCTTCTGTTCCTACGTGTCAATATGTAGATGCAAAACCTTTTCGTAAATGTTAGCTGGTTTTCATGGTTAAATCGTCAGAAAGAGAATGAACCCTGGGTGGCAAGAGTGTGCTCCTGTCTTGCTTCCCCACCAGTGTAATGATGTGTGTGTTGGTGCCCGTGGAGCGGTGTGTGTGGAGCCTACTCAAACGCATTCATTTCCGATGCTTTAAAGAAATGCCCTCTCATTGATAATAACTCACTTTCTGTACTTTTGTAAAACAGAGATGAATGACATATCAATTCTGATGTCAATCAGTTTTACTATTTAAGAATATTTTTCGTAGCCAGGTGTGGTGGTGCCCGCCTATAATCCCAGCTACTCGGGAGGCTGAGGCAGGAGAATTGCTTGAACCCGGCAGGCAGAGGTTGCAATGAGCGGAAATCACACCACTGCACTCCAGCCTGGATGACAGAGTGAGACTCTGTCTTGGGGGGAAAAAAGGAATTATTGTTTTCACTGTGCTTATAGATCCAGTTTGGTAATTATTTTTTCCTGCTAGATTTTATGTCCTTTTGAATATGACGTCAGCATTCTATTGTGTTTCACGTATTCCCAAATTTCTGTTTCTGGCCCCAGTTCAGTGTTGTTTGTCTACCGTGTGTAGTGTGTAACTGCTGTGGGCAAAGGAGCACCTAAGTTGGTCAGTTACATGTCACTTTTGCTTCCCTTCTACCACGGAGGGCAAGTTAAACTCTATCTCGCATTTCATGTTTGACATTTCCTTTTTTTTTTTTTTTTTTTTTACCTTGCTCCCAAACAGAATTGTGACCTGGATCAGCAGAGCATTGTTCACATTGTGCAGAGACCGTGGAGAAAAGGTCAAGAAATGAATGCAACTGGAGGCGACGACCCCAGAAACGCGGCGGGAGGCTGTGAGCGGGAGCCCCAGAGCTTGACTCGGGTGGACCTCAGCAGCTCAGTCCTCCCAGGAGACTCTGTGGGGCTGGCTGTCATTCTGCACACTGACAGCAGGAAGGACTCACCACCAGCTGGAAGTCCAGGTAATTGGAATGCTCTAAGATTATTAAAGCATTTTGTTTGTTTGTTTAGTGCAGTCTGCATGGAGCATGGCCTCACCGGGTGCATATTTAGTTTATGATACGTTTTGGATTGGAGTCTCTAATTCACTACAAGGAGACATCACTGTAGGTGGAGTACTTTGATGTAACATTTGAGAATGCATTTATTGTAAGTACTATGAAACAGGTTTTCATATTGAGATTAAATATAAGAGATATGTTTCTAGTGATGTAGAAAAATTCTAAAAAGCAGAAAGAACTCTAAAGCTAATCGAGCCATTTGTAGTTTCTAAAGCCAGATATGCCAATGGCAATGACATCCTTAGTGTGAAAGGACTCTTCCTTCTCTCTATGCTACCACCCATTTCAAAATGCTTTTCTTTGGCAAAGATTGTTATTGTTTAGTTATTTTAAAAAAATTAATATGTGCCTCTTAGTCTTTTATTCTCTAATCTAAATAGTCAAAGGTGTAATAGAATTAATTTTTACTGTGTTTGACAGAAGACACAAAATAATCACAATGACTTTACAGGGTAGAAGTTGATTTTCCTCCCACATACAATAGATCCTGGCAGTTGTGGGCTGGTATGGCCTTCACAGTGTCAGAAAGTTCTGGGGCCTGCAAGATGGAAGCCTAACATAATAAGAAATGCCTCCTACTAAACTTACTAAATAAAATTTAAGGAACTTAAAAATTTTCGATGATCTTGCAAAAAATAAAAAAAGATAATTTCCAAGGACAAGTGAAAATGTAGAAACAACATCTTTAAATACAGGAGTAGATAAGCCCAGAAAGTAAGGCATTAACTGATGCTCTGGTGATCTTGAGATGATTGTGGGAGGGAAAGAGGCTCTGCTTCATGTGAGCTGGGCACCTCAGGTCTGGAAAGAAAAATTGAGAAATGGAAATAAATGTCAAAAATGGGGAAAAATGAGATAAATCTAAACCCCTGCAATACTCTTGTGACCAGAATAATATATTAATATAAATATCGAACCCAAGCCCATAACAATTCTGACGTTTCAACCAGAGTATGTATAAGATCATTCTGACACTGACACCTCTAGAGAATACTCATGCTCCAACATTATAAACCAAACAATGGAAAATTCCACCTTGAGTGTGTATGAGACCAGAATATGCCACCCCAAAATATGCCACTTTAGCATAAGTATTATTTTAAGCTGATTATTTTGAGAAACAGTAGACACAGGAAAAGCTCTAAAAACAGAGTAGAAGTGACCCTTTTGTAAGGGAAATTTATATCTACCAAGGAAGTCTCCATTTGTAAGGGTGTCTCCCTCTCCTTACTAGGATGAGGAGGACAGAGTCTCTGGAGACTCTGATCCTTGAGAAGGCACCAACTGAATAATCTGCCTAACAAACCTTACTCTTGTCTTCTCCTCTCCCTTTCTTCCTTTGCCATTGAAGATGGTATTCAAGCCTGAATTTTAGGCACCTCTTTGAGATTTATGCATTTTTTCTGGGTGTCTCACATGTACAGTTGTCCCTCCCCATCAACAGGCAATACGTTTCAAATCCCCCAGTGTACGCCTGAAACCAAAAATGGTACCAAACCCTATATTTACTATGTTTGTTCCTGTACAACTGTATAACAGATTGGATTTATTATGTTAGGAGACCTATCTACTAGTTCTTTAATTTGATTTCCCAAAATAAAATTCTTACTAAAAATAAAAAAATCACATTGTTTAGAGCAAAATTAAACCTTTACTTATTATCTGAATATTAAAAACAATTTGAGCACAAGAATCCTGTTGTGTACATATTCATGTTCTTTAATACATTTCCTAGTGCATCTGGCTCTACTCTCTTATCAACCATATTCATCTGAAAATTTTAGTCTTCTTATTTTGTTTTATCATAAAATTGCCCTTGGTCTTCTCCAGAATTTTCTTTTATGAGAATGAACTTAGAATTATTGACACTTTCAACTGACTCTCTCTCTCTCTCTAGACCATAATATTTTAAGAAAATATAGTATTCTCTCTATATAGGGTCTGAAGTACCAGTAGGCACTGAGAAAATTCTGCTAAATGTCTAATATTCTCTTTATATTTTTAAATTGAAATGTGTGATTATTTCAACCCAAACAATAGAGAATAAATTCTAGTAAATTTATGGAATGTGGTAAATGACAGCAGCCTTCAGAGTACTGTATGATCTATGATGATGCGCTGTTTCACCTTGACTTTCCACTCATGTCTGAGTCACATCTAACCTCTGATCACCCTGTTTCTCATTTACCCCTCTGTCTTGTGGCCTGCCAGCCTTGTGCTTTTGGCAGGCTAGGGACTGGCTCAGGCAACTCTACATGGTGCAGTTGGGGGCTGCAGGGTTGCCATCCTAACACTTCTCCCTGCACCACTACACACTGGGGGCAACTTCCTGGCACCCTACATGCTGCTACTAAAAGGCCTCTGTAAAGATATGTTGCATCTGTAAAGATTGGGAAAAGAGAGATGGTGCATCCCAGGTCAACTTTCAGATTTAACTCTGTGTTAAACTAACAGCTAAACTACAAGTAATCCTCTCCTGCTCATTAGAACTGGAGGGAATCCTTTTCAGAACTCTTAGGACTCTCCCTTATTACTTGCTATTTTGTACTCCAGTTCTGACTTCACCTTTTAATCTCTTTGAGGATGGAGTTTTTGTCCAATTAACTGTAGTTTTCCCCAAAATCTCTTAGAAGAGTGGTGATACATGTTTACTAAATTGCTTCAAATTGTAAACATAGTCAGTCATTCAACAGAACTCCTGTGCATTTAGCTTTTAGAGCGAATGCTTTATTTAAAATTATACAGAGAAATTGAGATTTCATCTCTTCAAATGTCTTGGTTCATTCTTGGTTTGAGTTAAGACTGAATGGAATGATTTGAAATGACTATATGCAAACAGTATGCCTATATGATTATTTTTCTTCACTAAAAATGATAGCGTAAAGTTACTAGAGCAGAGATTCACAGACTCTCATGTGCAGAATTATCTTGCATGTTTTTCCATGTTTCTTTGATGGCCAGAATGGCGAGAAAAAAAATCTTCTTTCATTCTTTTTCTGTGACCAGAAATTTTGATGTATTTGTCTGGGGGTAGAGGCCCCAAAATGTTGGTACTGACCATACTCTGAGAAACTCTGCCCTATGGCTAAGGTTTTCCAGCCTTACAATTATGGATCCTACCTGTTGTTCTCACGGAACAATCGGACGCTGGGTGGGAGAACAGAGGCAGGTCGGTGAGAGGTGAACACACCAAGCCAATCACAGCAGCCTGAGACCATTCCTCTTTACGTACTTCACATATTAAACACATAAAACATCTATCATTTGAAAAGATGAAAAAAATCCTTGGTTATACAATGTTTGAAAACCTGTGCCTCAGAAAAAGAGATTAAAAGAAATCCCAATTTTCTGTGCTTCCAGAGTCTTCAATTTTAACTTCGAAGAATATAAGTGCTGGCTGGACGTGGGAGGGCTCTAATGGGTGAATAGCTGGGCTGTAGCCTCATATGTTGTCGAAACAAATGGAAACTTCTGAAACCCGAGAAGGTGCCTTTCAAGTATTTTTAGTTGGCAAAAGATAAGTGGTCAACATGAGAGGTGATAACATGATGTACATGAAGAACCAGTTACACTGTTGGTACTAAGAACGCAAGCATGTCACACTAAAGACTTGTAAGAGGACGTCAAAGAACTGGAACGAGTCATTGAAGTAGTTTTTACAGCAGTGCCACTCAAGCTTTAGTGCTCATCAGAATCACCTGAGGACCTATAAAAGCACAGATGACTGGGCCCAGACCAGTTGGCCTTGGATGGAAGCTGAGAAGTTGCGTTTCCAGCAAGCTCCCAGGTGATGCTAACACCGCGGGCCCAGGGGCTGTGCTTTGAGTAGTACTGCCCGAAATAGTAAAAAATAGTATTCCTTAAAATATGGTCAGTGAATAAAATCTATTTTTACTACATTTTCAATAAGAACGTTGAGCTGCACCTGGGCTCCAGGGTGCCTGTGTGTAAATTACCTTCATGTGTTATTGGTGTTTCCTAAATGAGGCGCCATTCATCATCTCCTGACAGATGAGATGAAGCTATTGGACCTAGCAAAAAAATAGGAGGCTCCTCCAATATCCGTCATACAGTTAACGAACTACATAAACAAATAACGATTGAGTCCTTACTCTGTGCCAAGCACAGTGCCAGGTACTGGGATGTAGCAGAAAATAGAAACAGACAAGATGCCTACCTCAACGGAGCTATTCTATTTGGAGCAGCTAGTAAGTGTGTGTTCTATCGAGAAACAGCAGAGTCAAGGGGACAAAGAGTATTGGTGGGGAGTTCCGTAATATACAGCAGCCGCGAGGCCTGTGTGATGAGCTAAACTGTGAGGAGGGCACCCTCAGGGAGCATCCATTTGTGTGCCAAATGGCAGAGGCGACAGCAACTCGTGAGCCCCAGGCAGGCCCCCGCCCAGAAAACGCAGCAGCCAGTATGGGGTGGAGCTTGGAGCAGGTGGAGCTCGGAGAAGAGGATGTCAGAAAAAGGGCAGGGTGGAGAGGTCAGGTAGGGTCTGCTGGGCCCAGGATTTGACCCTGTTGAGAAAATTTGACTTTTGAACAATGGAGTGACATGATCTGACTTCAGGAAGCCTCATGCTGGCTGCTTGTGAAGGAACTGCAGGAGGAAAGGGTGGAGGCAACACAACCCGGAAGGTTTTCAAATCCTAGAACTGCTGCACTGCCCAGAACATCGCGAACGGGCCATACCTGCAGGCGGTGTCGGTGAGTGCTTGCCGCAAACCTGGCACTATAGAAACCCTGTTTCCCTGAAATACCTCTTTTAATTCCTTGCAGCCTTGTAAGGTAGACCATGTTCATATCCTCTTTATAGATGAGGAAACTGCAGAGACCACTTGAGGAACCGACCCAGACAATTCAAGCCGTACCCAGGGACCGTCTCACTTCAGAGCTTATGTAAAATATCCAGTAGCCTGTGTTTTCCTGAATATAGCTATCAGGTGAAAGGAAATTTTGCATTTCCTCTAGATGTTTTGGTTAGAAAGTAGATATAGTCTTAAAATGGACCTTTTTGAAGAGTCATGTTAATTGATTTCAGCCAAGTAGTCAGATTTTAAAACTATATCACAAGGTATACTACTTTTTCAGAATTTTTTGCTTTTGAGAAAAAAAAAAGAAAAACTGTGGCCACGCTGGCCAGTCTGGTCTGGAACTACTGACCTCAGGTAATCCACTGACCCCGGCCTCTTGAAGTGCTGGGATTACAGGTGTGAGCCACCACACCCAGCCCCATGTTTTTGCTTATATGCTTCCAAAAGGAGAGGAGACATGTCATGAAATAGAGCGGGAAGGAGTGTCAGCATGCAATTGACAAAAAGCTGCGGAGAGGAATACCATGCCGGGGCAGCACAGGCTGAGGCTGGCCCCGTCTACCTTGTGCTTTTGTTCGTGCCTGTTTGGGTTCATGCCTCTGTGGGAATTGTTTTGCTTTTTGTGGTTGGTTATCTGTTTTGAAACATAAAGAAATAAAAAGTAACTGTGGGGGAGAGTAGGTGAGAAATGACAGCATTGGTTGTTGAAGTTAAGTAAAGTACTTGTAGGGAGCCTCAAAATGTTTTGATTTTTCTGAAGTCACCTCTGCAAGGTCATATTGTGATTTCAAGGGGAAGGGAGACATTGCATTCAAGACTCCATGAGGCCTGGCTGGACAGTGTGCTCTTCTAACGACAGGCCTCTACAAATGGTAGTGTCTGGGTGTCCCTCTCCTGGAGGCCTACATGGCCAGTGAAGCAAATCATTTACATCTTTTACTCTTCAAACCCTGAAGTGTTTCAGAGGACACTGCCCATATGCCAAGATGGGGAGATCTGCACTTGACAGGAATGAGCGTGGAGGCAGGGTATTTACAGCTGGGGAGGTCCATCTTGGGAATCATCTGAGCATCGTAATTATTGCAGAGTCTGCCAAAAATGCAGGCAGGCTGCTGGATTCCACTTTCTTAAAGGGAAGATAAAGAAAAAATTTCAAATTAAGTGGTAGAATTTAACTGTCTGTAATACACTCTTTTCAATCTTTCTAAATTTGTTCTGAGTAAATAAGGACTAATGGAAATTTTGTGAAATTTTATAGAAGGTGTTATTTTGTATGACCTGTAGCTTCCAAACATTTCATACATAAATCAAGAATTTATGGTCTACTTATGTAAGAAAAACAGAATTAATAAAATATCTATTATATAATAGAAAATGAAACCCTTATGACAAGGAAAATATCACTACATTCTTTTTTAGAGTACTTTTTGATAATTTCACAGAATCAGGCCCAAACTCCTACACCTTCTTCATCTATTTGACTATAATTAATTTTCCAAATGATACCTCTGATGCTCTGTAAGATCTTACAATTCTTCCTCAATCCCCAAAGGTTGACTACCTTTGGTGTTAGAGGTGTGTTATTAGATTCTAATTCTTTGCAAATTAATGCTCAATCTTTTCTGTGCATGATAATTAAACTCACTAGAGTCCCAGTGCATCAGTGGGGTTGTGATTTGCTTCCTGTAAGAAGGGAATCAAATGGCCGATAATTTACTTCAGTGGATTAAATGAAAATCGTTTGAACCAGTGTTTACCACAGTTCCTGGTATATACTACGCACTGAATACAGAATTTTTGTTGCTAGAAAATGCAGTCAAAAAGGGTGACAGACATTGATTTTGAATCCTTGAGCGCATTCATGGTACCTGGGCTGTGATGTGTCTGCCATGCAAATGCTAAGCCGACTGGCAGTAAGTGTGGGCCCCGGAGCCAAGCAACTTAGCCCGTCTTGGCTCTACTTCTTGCTACCTCTAGGACTCGGAGAATTTACTTTCTTGCAGTCCAAAGTGTGATCTGTGGGCCAGCAGCAGCAATTGGGAGTTTATCAGAAATGCAGAATCATTGGCCCCCTATCAGACCTACTGAATCAGTAACCTTCATTTTAATAAGATCCTCAAGTGAATAGTGCACTGTTTTGTTTTGTTTTTAAACATACCAGGCCACAGTTTCCCCATTTCTCATACAGAGATAAGGAAAAAGTACCTAACTCATGAAGTTGATGTCAGATACTTCGTGACAAGGGCCTAGAGAAAGGCCTGGAATATACCAAGTGCTGACTATCTGTTATCCATTTCAGTTATCCCTTTGCTTTCTAGTTCACATGTACAAAGGCCCAATATTGTGCTCAGGCTCTAAAATACTACCTAGGTTTACAGATCCAGGGCTACCTGCCTGAATTGCCCCCAGAACAGGTGCTAGGTCCCCAACCCATACTTGGGAGACGTCAGGTTACTCTAGTTTTGGGGTCAGGGTTTTTATTTTATTTTATTTTATTTTATTTTATTTTATTTTATTTTATTTTATTTTTGTATGAATCTCTTTGTTTACTTAATTTTAAAGTTTGATCACCTCCACCACACATTTGGAGCTAAATTAGAATAGTGGGTGCTCTATGATAATGATGGATGGCATGAGGAATAATACTTCCCATGGCTGTTTTTCTGGAGTGTTACATTTTCGTTGTTTTCCAGCCCTGAATGATGTATGGCATATGTATTTGTTTTCCATTTTATGTTGGGAAATGTAGTACTCTTTTTTGAGTACTTCATCCAAAAAGTGGATAAATTTTCTACTGGGACTTGCTCAAAGGACCCTTTGGCGATGAGTGTGTACCCCACTTCATATTTTGAAAGAGAAGATTAGCTAGGGATAGGTCACAGATATAGGTCACAGGGGGCTTAACAAAGCTGGCTCTGGCAGTGGATGAAGGATGGGGGCAGTTAGGAACAAGTTAGCTTTCAGCAAGTGGGTGTTCATTGTGCAATGCAAACACAGCTCTTATTCTAAGTGAGCAGGAAGACGGTGGACACAGATTCAGATTGAATCAACTGAGCACTGTTTTCAGATCAGGGTCAGTGCCTCAAACAACACACTGGGAACTGAGTCCTGCTAATGTGTCTTTTTGGATATTTCCTTTTTTTTTTTTTTTGAGATGGAGTCCCACCCTATCACCCAGGCTGGAGTCAAAGGTGCCATCTCAGCTCAATGCAACCCCCACTTCTCAGATTAAAGCAATTCTCCTCCCTCAGCCTCCAGAGAAGCTGGGATTACAGGCACCCACCACCATGCCCAGCTAATTTTTGTATTTTTAATAGAGACAGGGTTTTACCATGTTAGCCAGACTGGTGGCAAACTCCTGACCTCATGATCTGCCCACCTCAGCCTCCCAGTATTTGGGATTACAGATGTGAGCCGCCATGCCCAGCCCGTCTTTTTGGATATTTTCATGATTCAAATACATGGATCTTTACCTAGTCAAAGACGGTCCTTCCTTAGCTGCAAGAAGAAAGTGTGTATGCATCTTCATGAAGTTGTTCTGTTTGGAGATAAGACACTCTTCTCTAACCCCCTGAAAACTAAGGCAAACATTTTAATCTAGAGCGATAGCTTAGGAAAGTATGATTTGAAAGTTTTCACAGATTGTTGTTTGCCATGTAATTTCTTTATTGTTACAAAGAACATAAAGTCACAGCTTGGTGAGTGATACTCTGGCCTGAGTGGTTATTTTAAAAAGCTGCTTATTGTGTGGACTTTTTTATACCAATAAAAGATTTTTGATGATAAATAGCCAGCCAGACTCTTTGATTTCTAATTGATGGATATGAAGTTGCCTCTTTTTTAATAATAGTTGACTCATTTAATATTTTTTTACTTCATTAACTCTCCCATTGTGGCATCATTACAATTTTGGTGGTGTCTCATATTTAACAAATGAATACAATCTTGGGGAAAGGTGGACCAAGAATTCTAGGACTAGAAGTTCCTACAAATAGTGAGGAAACATACTTCAAATTGAGCGTTTAGGATTTCCTTTTATGAAAATGAGAATGAGTATACCTTGCATATTTTAATTAATACGGTTAGCATAGTTGCTGTAACAGTTATTTATTTTGGATTTGTCCATTTGTGCTGGTAAAGTAGAACCATAGCTTTTATTCATTTGCTTAATCCATTCTCTTCATGCCAAGAAGAAATGTTATGTCCCAGTAAAATATGGACATCTTCAGTGACAAGCAACAGCAGTCATTTAGTGGGTTGTATGATTGCTGCTTATTATGGAGAAACAGATTAGATTAGATTAGATTAGATTAGATTAGATTAGATTTGTTGCCTGTTGTCACCAGCATGCCTGTTTCGTTAACAGAGCCATCCACTATTTTTCATACAGGTGATGTTTCCAGTTTCTCTTTCAATTACCATTTCGATAGATATGCTCCTCTCTTGGACTCCACGGCAAATAATTTTTCTTGTTTCTGTGAAGAAAGAAAAAGTACTCTCTTAACATAGTTAATTTACCAGGTTACTGTAGACAACAGCGTCCTGGCCACCAGAATAGCACACGCAGGTGGTAGGCTGCCCGCTGGAAGGCAGGCTCCAGGAAGCAGGGGCATTTCCTCTCACTCTGGGCTGTTGCAGTACCTAACACAGTGCTGGGCACATTGTTGATGCTTACTAACTTAATAATATGTGTTAAATGAATGAAAACAACATTTGTTTATTCACTCATTGATAAGCTTTTTGAAAATGGGAAATATAGTTCATTCTCATCCAAGATTCCCAATTGTGGGTGTCTTAGCCCCTTTGGGCTGCTATGACAAAATACAAAATGAGTCAGTGGCTTATAAGCAACAGATATTTATTTCTTCCAGTTCTAGATGCTGGGAAGTGAAAGAACAAGGCACCTTTAAAGCTGATGTCAGCCGAAGGCTGCTTGCTGGTTCATAGATGGTGCCTTCCAGCCGTGCCCTCTCATGGTGGAGGGAGCACAGCAGCTCTCCAGGGCATCTTCTGTAAGAGCACGTATCCCATTCACGGTGGCTCCATACTCATGACCTAATCACCTCCAAATTTCTTATGTCTGAATGCCATCACATTGGTGATTAGGTTTCAACATCTGAATTATTTGGGGACAGAAACAGTCAGACCATAGCAGTGGGAGAAGTTTGCATTCCTGAAGCAGGGTCTAGCTCTTTTGTCAGAGACAGACAGATGACTTAACCATTGCAGTCAACACTAGAAGGTACCCTGACTTCAAAATTCTATATACAGATAGGCAAACCTTATTCCTGAATTCTTCACCTGACAAATATCCATGGGAGGTTTATGTTGCACCTGCCCCCAATACAGTGATGTATCGTTTAGTGCTACCATGTTTGAATCACAGCTTCCTAACAGCTACATTGGTTATTTCCCCAAACATTAAAATTCAATGTGTGACAGCTCTAAAAGATAAGAGTCAGCATGTTTCCTTCCCTCTTTATGCACACTTGCTTCTTCATTTCTAGTTCTTTTCATGTGCCCTAGACTTTTCTTACTTTAAACTGATAGGGAATTATTTTAGAATTCTCACAAGAGAAAATGCAATTTCGACCTTTTGACTTAGTCATTTATACTCTCAGAGTTTATGATAAAATTATATTACAGATATACACAGTAGATTATCTAGAAGGATGTTCAACACTGTTTATATTAGTAAAAAATGGAAAACTATCAAGAGGTACAACCATAGGTTCTGAATGTTTGGCAGTTCTATAAAATGAAACACTATGGATCCATTGAAGATGATGTTGAGAATATTATTTAATGGCATGGAAAGACACCACATGACAAAATTCAATTCCAAATTACTGAGTAGTTTGTGATCTTACTCTATAAAAAATAACTAACCATATATATCCCCGTTTATGCATGTGCATACATAAAGAAGAATATTAAAATGCAGATGCAAGATTTAATAGCAGTTTCTTCTTGTGATGGGATTGTGACTTATTTTTATTTCGAATATTTGGTTTATATGAACTTTCTAGAATGAATATGTATTACTATTTAAGATAAGAAAGAAATTCTTCAACTGCTAAGCATATCTAATATACTGGATCCCAAGGTCTGGAAATGTGGCTGCTTGGAGACTGTAACTCAGCACTCCCGCCTAGTGGGCCCCGGAGTGACTTCATTTCCTTAGGGCCTTTTACATAACCTGGGCTCCCCTTTGATCATCATATTCCATAATGGTTGAGGCCTGAGAATCTCTATGTTGAAGGTTTCACAGGTGATTCTGATGAGCAGCCAGTTTTAACACTTCATGTACTAGTGTTTTCCTGTCTCCTGATCCTCCCACTCTCCCCTCTTTTCAGGTAGAGTGTCTGGATCATTCATCTAAACCTATTAACTAGGAGTACGTTTGTGGCCACTCAGATTGTGGTCTCTTAATACTGTTTTTAACTAAAAAAGACAAGGAATCATTGAAGAATAGAAGATTTTAGGCCTGGGACAAATCATATGCAAGATGAACCTTGTGTATCTTGTGTGGCTATCTTATTTGAAAGCTAGTGGAGATTATGAAATCAGAAGGGACATACTTGAAGGACACAGGGGCTAATGAAGATTCAGTGTCCCAAGATGGGATAATCCAAGATGAAAACAAGTGTAATCTAAGACAAAAAAGTTATTGAAGACTTAACAAGTCATAATTTTGCTAAAAAACCCAAATACATTAGAAACTCCTGGAAATAACTAGAGCCCTAAAATCAAACTCAGGAAATTGATAATTAAAAAAATAAAATAAGGGTTTATCTAGCTTTTCCTGTAAGAATTCTATTTCAAGGTAACCAAATAGCCCTAGTAGTTGAGGAAAATTTTTCTTTACAGAGAAGTTTCAGACAATAATTGGAGATGCATTGCGAAATTAGATATTCACCATTTTGCAAGTCCTACTTTATTCTGCCAACAGATATAAATAGATGAAACAATTAGATGAAAGTGAATGGGTTGATATAAGTGAAGGGAATCTGGCTGATGCCATGTGATCAATCTTAGGATCAGTGGAAGTGGGACAACCAGCTAGTTACACATTATTTATAATTGAATCTGGGGGATGGTTACTCATTATACAACTCTCTGTACTTCTGTGTACTCATCAAAGGATCAAAGGAAAAGTTCTTTCTAGCATGTGTGTGTGTGTGAGAGAGATAAATAAATGGGAGGATATTAAACCATTGACTTTGGGGTTATCTGTTACACTGGATGGAAATCTTTACCAAACAAAAATGTACAAGGTATCTCAGCCTCTACAAAGTGGTACAGCTCCCTGCCAATAGGAAAACAAGCTCAACGCTGCACCAAAAGGACATCTAGTTGTCTATTTGGCCCATTTCTAAGTTGTGGCTATTTTTTTACACTCCATTCCCTGCCCCCCCCCTTATAAATAATCAAAACGGTTTTCATTTGTTTGTTTTTGAGACGGAGTCTTGCTCTGTTGTAACCCAGGCTGGAGTCCTGTGGTGTGATCTCGGCTCACTGCAACCTCTGCGTCCTGGGCTCAAGCGATTCTCCTGCCTCAGCCTCCGGAGTAGCTGGGAGTACAGGCGCCTGCAACCATGCCCGGCTAACTTTTGTATTTTTAGTAGAGACAGGATTTCGACCTGTTGGCCAGGATGGTCTGAAACTCCTGACTTCAAGGTGATCCCTCTGCCTCGGCCTCCCAAAGTGCTGGATTACAGGCGTTAAACACTGCACCTAGCCCACAAAGGTTTCGTTTTGTTTTGTTTTGTTTTGTTTTAATCACAGAAAAATGCTATTTTCATCCAGATGAAACATGGCCTTATTTTTTACATAGTTCCAATGAGACTGTTAATTAACCAGATAGGCCTGCTTGAGTTTGCTTTACAAATCTATAGCCATATAATTTGACCCAGATAATTAATTCTGCCTGAGATTTTTTTTTAAGGAATCTTAGATTTGACTTTTAAAAGCCTTTATTATTTGCTTTTCTTTCTCAAAGCTCGGGAAACAATTCCAAGACATTCTCTCCACCATATTTTGCCTGCACTGTATATATAAATTGGGATGAATTCCTTTCTTCTTGAAGTTCTCAGGAACAGGACTCTAATAGCCAGGTAGTAAACCTGATTTGTCCACTGGGCTTCGTAGGCACTAGCTACGTGTCTCGTCAGTTTTCCGGACTAGCGTGCCGCTGTGTTTGATGAAGTGAGATTTATTCTCATATATAATTCTCCATGTGTATCCTTTGTTGCATAATCAATTTGTTCAATTGTATCCTGGTAAGATGAGAACAAATCCTAATTGAACCTATGTTAATAACTATGTTCTCATGAAAAAGTAAGGAGAATCAGTAAAAGTATTTCTTTCTGCCTTTCGAAGGATGCTAAAAATCAGATACTACTTACAGTTTTTTAAATTTTATATGCAAAAGCAGCTGGTGGCTCACGCCTGTAATCCCAGCCCTTTGGGAGGCCAAGGCGGGCTGATCACGAGGTCAAGAGATCGAGACCATCCTGGCCAACATGGTGAAACCTCGTCTCTACTAAAAATACAAAAATTAGCTGGGTGTGGTGGTGGTGCACCTGTAGTCCCAGGTACTCGGGAGGCTGAGGCAGGAGAATCCACTGAACCTGGAAGGTGGAGGTGGCAGTGAGCCGAGATCATGCCACTGCACTCCAGCCTGGTGACAGAGCAAGACTCTGTCTTAAAAAAAAAAAAAATTATATACAAAAGCAATAGTCTATTATATCCAAAGTGATACTGATGAAGAAGAAAGAGAACTTCATATATCCATAAAAATTAACATTAAATGCAATACTAAAAACATTCAAAATAAGTAGCCATAATTTAACTCATCAGTTCATTTGTTCTTGTGTAATTAATTGTTATTTTTTGGATCTTGGGTTAGGTGCTAGTTTCATGAAGAACATCTATTTCCAGACTAAAATAAGTCCTGGAAATTCTGATTCATTCCCTGGTACAGTCTGAAAGTTGTTGAGCTGATGTCAGCTCTAACGCCAGTACCCAAGAGTCTATTCTTTGAAGTATCAGTAGTTCAGAGTATCTGGCACACTCCTTTCTGAGAAGTCTGGAAACAGGAGTATACGCTGAAGATACAACCCCAGGCCTGTGGTTTATAGCACAGTTCTCAGGCAAGCATCAGATGGAGACAGAAACCAGTTTGATACTAATAAAAGGCTGGATTAATTACTACAGTGACCAGCAATATCAGAATGACGAGTGTAAAATAACCCTTTGTGACACAGTGTATGACTATTTTATAAGAGTTTGATCAATGTTTCTCCGGAGAGTAAGAACATATATATAATGGACAGCATGGGCTCTGATGACTCTCCTTGGTCTTCCCATAAAATGTTCGATTAGTAACAGATTTCTGTGCATAACATTTCATGTACACAAACTGAACCCAGGGAAGGCTGAGCGTCCTTCTGATTTGACAGCTCATTCCATAGCTCTTCTGTAGTGGGGAGGTGATTAAGAAATACAAAACCCTTGAAACAAACCTAAGGCTTTCCAGCTCCTCTCTCCAGGGAGCCTGTGGGAGATTTTAAAGCCAGTTTTAAGTATAAAGTATATTGTTGAATTTTTATGGTCTATATTTTTAAATTTTAGATCTGATCATGGGGCTGGGGGGAAATTAAAGTAGTTGTCAGAGTAGACTTGGTCGTTTGGCTATAATAAAATCCTAGGTGCCTTTAATTATCGATTTAATCAAATTAACAAGTGTTCAAAAATAATTGTTGGTAAATGTAATATGATTGCAGGGAATCTTGGTTCATTCACAAGTGAGGAAACTTTGCCTTTCATAATTGTAGATTTTTATTTTCTAACACTATGCTAGAATCAACACAAAGCAGAGATTATTCTGGTGGGTTATAAAATCTCTGCTTTCTGGTCATATCACACAAAAGGGAAAAATAGTATTTTTACTATGCCTTGGTAAGAATTCTAAGATGAATTTATTAATTCAACTAAGAAAAAGACTACTTTTAATTTTGCATTAATGCATTGGAAATATAGGTTTTATGAGATCATTTTCCCCCTTAATTTATCTCACAAATAAGCCAATCAAAATTAGGTGAATTTTAATATATTTTATAGCTTCTTTTCAGACATAGGTGTTATAAACAAAAGCAGTTAAAATTCACTTCCCTCAAATTTTCCACAACTTGCTGTGTTCTCTCAAGTTTTATCTTTCACGGTGTCATTTCATATACTGGTACAAAACAACACTTTGCTTTAGGGAAAAAATACCCTATTCTTTTCATTCTTGAAAAAGAAAGCTCATCCCATTACTTTGGATAAATCGTTGTATTTTTCTGTTACTGTTTCTTCTATTTAAGTCTCAGCCACCAAATCCGATTATAACTTGTATTCAAAATAAGATCTTTGATTTCACAAAGAAACTGGAAAGTCATAATAGGAGAGCTGTGTGTCAAACACAAACATTTTAGCAGACTAACAAAGCTATAAATATATATAGTACAATTTTTAGAGCTACAGGCTCCTAAAGTAGCAAAACTAAAACAATTAATGTGACTCAAAAATATAGCCATTCTATAGTATGTATAACTAAAGGGCCAAAAATATGTAAACTAAATATTATGTCTGTTTATCATTGCTTTTGTTTTCAGCCTTAATACAAATTACCTAGCTGTCTGAAGATCAATCCATGTTTGCAAGTTATATATAAAGATATAAGAACCTACTACAGAAAAACTTGCCAGAATTATTATTCTATTTAGTCAGCTAAAAATGTATATTTTTCAAAAAACTTTAAAATTATGTCACTGTAATGCAAGATTTTGTGATTGAAAAATAGTTTGAGAAGTACGAGAAGTTCGGATTAAGTACGCTTTTCCTGGGAAACCAAACCCCAACCTGTTAAAATGTAAAATAGAAACCTTATCACATATTTAACACTGAAAAATGAGAGAAAAGTTTTTCCTTTCTTAAACCCAAATTATTAAAACTGTTCCATTGTCCAAAGATTCACCATATGTATGTGATTGGATTTCTGAGCAAGCAGTTTCTATAAGAGGAGATTTTTCCCTAAAAATCTAGAACACTTGAAGTACTCAGAGTTTGCTTTATTTTCTGTGAATTTTGCCGGTATTCCATTTGTATATGTCATTATTTATTTTTCTTCAACAACCAAAATCTATTTTTTGTGGTTCTGGAGGCCAAATGTCCAAGATCAAGGTGTTGTAGGTTTGCTTTCTTTCTAGGCATGTCTCTTTGGTGTACAGATGGCCGTCTTCTCCGTTTCCTCTCACGGGGTTTCCTCTACATACCCTCTTGTCTGGTGTGTAAATTTCCTCTTCCTATAAGGACAGTAGTCAGATTGCATGAGGGCTCACCCGAAAGACCTCATTATAATTAATCAAATACAGTTGGATTAGGAGGTGCTGGGGGTTAGAGCTTCAACATAGGAATTTTGACGTAATTCAGCCTGCAACAAGCAGGGAAACATTTCACACAACGGAGGCAACAGCTTTTGTGAATTACAGATATGTAGACGCAAAGCCATGTAGAGAATTTATAGCTTCAGTCCTACAACTTCAGTCATGCGTCAAAAGAAGATAGAGAATCACAAAAATGTATTAGTCCAGACCTCAAAGAGCTGTTTTCCTCCCCAGTGGGCATATGATTTTTAATTGATCTGAGGTCACCAAGAGATAAGTAAACACAAGTGACTTACACATAGTCTCTGTTGTCTCTTATTCAACAAAGAATAAAGCTGTGTCATCCAGGTCCAGAGATTGCCAGTCAGACTATCAAGGCAATTCCCAATCACTGTGACCACCAAAGGGAAATAGATTATTGTGAGTCTGTGCTCCAAGCAAAACCAAACACACAAATTCAGAAAAGAAAAAGGGGAAAAAGTGGAGAACCCCGGTTGCAGATTTCAAGATCTGTCTGACTTCAGGAACTATTCCTTAGTATATTAGTCCATGAGGCAAACTTCCTGGAAATGAAGGTTATTTGGTCCATTTGAGCGTGACCTCTAAAACCATTAAATTATAATTTCCAGTAAGGTAAAATAGCTGTTTTGCTATTTTATATTATATTATATTAGATATTATATTAGATATAAAATGTACAAGTGTCAAAAATTTTCTTCAACCTATTACTTAATGTGAGAAGCAGCAAGCTGTATAAATTGGTTCAAAAGGCTTTGGAAAAATTAGTGTCTTGATTATAGATAGGTAAATATGCAATTTAATAAAGAGATGTTAGCATAAGATTGCTAGACTAGATACAAATCTTGTCAAGTGTTTACAGGGCAATAAACCATAATATTTGAGGTTGTCTGCTCCACTGGACAGAAATTCTTTGTATTTCCACTGGAAAAAAGTGAACCACTGCTCCTACCGAGTTGTAAAATAGCCCATATAATAAACCTACATCGCATTGAAAGAGTACCAGTAATCTCTTTGGTTTAATTCTAAGTTTCAAATTTTTTTTGATTATTAAGAGAATGAAACTAAAATAGTCCTATTTAATATGTAAAATGTTTTGGTAAATATACTTTGCTCCCTGCAACCATTACATCACCAGAGAGATACAATATTTTACGCTCAAGAGAATAATAAGTATTTCCCTTTCTTCTAACAGTTTGTGAAACATTTACACTTACATTATCTCTTAGGGCCATAATTATCATTCCTTCTTTTATGGAGAACTGAGAGTAAAGATGAAATTGTTGGCCAAACTGTCATAGCTAAAAGATATTGAGGCTAAGATTGGAACCACTGTCTTTTGATTCAAAATTCCATATTCTTTGAATTAGATCAAAGTGTTTATGTGTACTTGATTAGATTCATTAGAGTCATCATGATTTGGAAGAATCAACATTAATTCCATATACCCTGATGCAAAAACAACCACTTCACCCCAAGCTCTTCCAAAAATCTTTTTTTATTTTTTTGGTAAAATCTTTGAGTAATGGTTTCCCAAATAAAGAGATGTCTACTTTCCATGGCCTGTTCATTTGGCGTGAATGCATATACCTGTTGACAGGACATACATAACTGACAGAAAAAATAATTTTGACAGTGTTTGGAGCTACTCAATGAGAAACTTTATATAATAATTTGAATTTGTCAAGAAGTTCTATAATCCTTTTATATATTTTTAAACACAATTTTGTGAACTTGGGTTTCCAAACTATCTTAGACCCATTTCTAAAGCTTTTTTTTTCCCTGTCAAATTAGTTCCAGGTGAGGAAAGAGCATATTGTGTATCTCCATCTCTGTACTTTAATACAGAATAAGATTGAATGTGCCCAGCCCTAGACCACAACCTGGCTTCTTACTCATCACCTCCCTGGGAATTCCATCAAAATGCAATCAGTGATCCATTCAAAATGGCCTCTTGAATTTAAGGTACACTGATGTTGTAGAATGTTAATATTCGTAACCACTTAGCTGCTGAACCAGACAAAACAGAATGACAAATCTAGCAATGCAGTTACTGTTGTTTACATTCTGCTTGTTAGGTTGCATTACAAAATTGGATGCCAAGTATATACCAAGTGTTTCTAAAGAGCAACTGTTTTTCCTCAGTGTTTCTATGGTTTACAATAATTGGTCCAAAGGGAGCTATCTGGTTTTATGTGTTTTTACTCAGCTGTTTGACAGTTGTTGCCCATAACTGCAAATTATTGATAGATTGATGGCACCATATATTCGTGAATTACATCCACAGTCCTTCATGATTGGAAGGAAACAGTAATTCTTGAAAAGATGGAAACAAAACATTTCTCTAAGGAATAATATCTAATTTGCATTGAATAATTAGCTCATCATCTTTCTTTTCCCTAAGAACTCACTGAGATGTGGGATTTGATGCTAGTCAAAAATCTCCATTATCCTCCTTATAGACACAATGAGGTTACACTAAAATATGCATATTAATTTTTGCATTCTTTGTAGATCTTCAGCAAACTTATCTTTGAAAGTCTTTGAAGATAGTAGCTAATTTAAACAAACTGAGTACTATGTACTAGAAACCTCTATTAAACTCGTATTAAATGTACCTGTTATACTGATACTTCACACTGACAGATAAAATTTCAATGACTTTTTTTTCAAATGATCAACCTGTGTTAAAACCAAGTTTTAATACGTTTATACTTGAAGCATTTTTGTGTGTGTGATGTTAAGCTTGGAACAATATTCCCCTTTTTCTCTTTTGTTAACTAGGAGAGCATGCTGAAGAGCTGTCATTGATAAGTCCTTGAATGTAATTTGATGGCTTCTTATTAACCCTTGGAGTCTGTGACTGCTATACAACTTCTTAGTTCTAAATGCAAAAATTTATATCCCCTCATGACCTTCCAGCAACAGCAGAATGTGATTTTGTAAGACATTAGCATAATGGAACCTTTTCAATAAAATGATAAATTGAGCCCATCTCAAGAAAACAGAACACACACTGGTAATTTATTGCGGTCATTGCCATGTGGAGGACCCCATTCATAGCATATGCTTTTAGCTCTGATGAGAACAGTGCTGTTCTTCAGATCCTACAAGTCTGCAAGATTGGCTGATAAATGTTTTTTTTTTTTTAAGGAACCAACAGCTCTTTGGGTAATAGGCATCATTACATGACATAATTATCTCACAAACATGTCTAATTATTCTATTGTTTTCAAGGCTCTTTCATGTAAATGTAAGTGTTGAATATAATTCCAGAATGTACAGACCCCTTTGTCCTTACCATGAAGATGCAGTTTTCTACGGTAATAAGGTTGATTGCCATTTTGCAACAGAAGGCGAAAATGCAGTCCAGAAACTAAATATGTTGGGGCAAAGAGGAGCTGCCTCTCTGTAGGTGTAAAGCCTGCAACAGGTGAGGGTAGACATGAGTCATTTTTGTCCAGATGTACCTCAAAGTTGTTTCACTGCCAGATGTTGATGGCATTTGTTGCTGTGAGTAGTTTCCTTTAATTTAGCAGATAATTGTGAAAATGTTATCAAAATATTTTTGCATGAGTTAATAGTTGATTGTTGTTCAAGAGGCATTTACATCTAGGAGGCAACTCTTTGTGTATGTATTCCCACTAAATGGTTTATGTACTTAGGTACATTTTACTTGGGAAGGATCCATTTAGAAAATAAAGGAACACATTACTTCAATAGCATATGTCGCTCTGACTACTAAGAGGTTCATGTTAGGCAGTCTGCTTTCTGTATGAACTGAGCAACTTTCTCAGTTTCTGGCCTGCATTTTCTGCCATTGGAAAAAGGTAACCAACCTTAACACTGTGGAAAACTGCATTTTCCTGGTGGGGACAAAGGGACCCGCACCTCCTGGATTCTATACTTAGAATGAGGAATCACACATACAACAGTGAAATGAGGTCACCCAGTGTGTGCATGAGTCTTTGTGTCCATATTTTGCTCTGAATACCAGGAATGTCAAACTCAATGTAAAACTTGGTGGTAATTTGTAGGTTGTGAAAAATTTTATTTTTTCTTCTCTCTTTATGCAATTTCTTATTTTAAAAGTGTCTTTTGTGGCTCCTTAATTTTAAATGTGGGAGTTTATTTTAGAATTATCCATGGAATGTGTTGTAATTGAATAAATAAAGTAGTTTGAAATATGGACTGATAAATTATATAGGTGCTTGTTGGGGGTGGGGGGAAGCCAGGAAATTCAGCTTCTTTTAAATTCCTTCTAGAAGGAATTCTACTTTACTAGAACTAAAGTGACTTCATCAAAGTTGAAGAAAACCTGGCATATCTGTGTTAGAGAATTTGCTGATATAATTGAGAAAACACTGAGTTTCATGATTATTACTACATATAGAATTCAATAGCCTGTATATATATGTTGGATATCATCAGACATAATACATTTCTATTAAAATATAAACATTTGTGTGATGAAGCATTCAAAGTTTAAAATAAAGAAACTTAGGGTAGCTTATACTCTTGAATAAAGTAGCTTTCATTTAGGATAGGGAAATACTTAAAGTGACAATGTTTCTTTTTTTCCCACCAAATCATGCCTATCAATATAAGTAGGGATAAGACCTAGATATTATAATTTGTCTTAAAACACTTTAACCACTTCTCACTTCTCAATCACAACCTCTCTAATTCATTTATCTCCATAAAATGATCTTATCTCTACTTGAACTCATTACACTTTACTCAATTGCTTTATCTAGCAATTTATTATGCCAATTCTATGTCTTTTTTAATAAAGTAATGAATATCTAGATGCATTTCTCAAATACTGTTTGCGTTAGCAGTTATATATTGTATCCTTAAGATTTGGTGCTATTTACTTACAATAACATTCTTTCACAAATCTAAATAATGTAGAAAACCTCTTAAGGAAATCAAAATCCAGTTATATTTTCCTACATGATAGACTAAAATAATAATGATGATGATAACAGTAATTGTAAAGGCATCATAAAAGACATTAGACAGAATTGCAGTAGAAGAGGAAAATGGGTCAGAATAACTTGTTAAGTTTTAATCAACTTTAACATACATTTTCTAATTTAAATTTCTAACATTGAAAGGAAATTTAAAAAGTCAACTCCAAATCTGCTTTAGAGTAAAATGGCTAAAGTGCCTAGGAGAGATGGAGGCAGGGCAGTTCTATAGTCTTCACCACAGTGATTCTTTCACCTTCTTCAAAACATCATTCTAGATGTTTTATGCTTCACCTTTTTATCAGTGTATATGAGTGAAAACTCATCATATATGAAAAAGAGGCCTCCAAATGTGTTGAACTGAATGGTACTTTGGTAGGTAACTCTACTCTTAAGTATTGATTTATTTCCCTCTCTTTTCTCAGTTTTAATGGGTTCACCCTAATGCTTTAGCATTTACTCTTCACTGGGATTTGGACGCAATTATACAGCTACAGGTTGACTTCTATGGTCTTGATTCCCTTGCTGTGAATAAGGAGGTAAACAATCAGTATGATTTTTCAATGTACAGGACAACTTTGCATGGTGTTATTGTTACTTCCTACAATTAATATTTCTATATTTATTAAATATGCTTCTCCCACAGGCTTCATTTGCTAGCCTAATTTTTCAAAATAGAAATAAGTTAATTGCTTCTAATCAGTAGGTAGCCATGAGACACATAGCAATTTTTCGTTAATATCTCTAAATTTTTCCCAAATGATGAAATTCCTCTTAAAAGTAAAAACATTGCTGCCAGTCCACACATAGGGCATGCGTGGGAAGGAAAGAAGGAGACTGAGAAATGTTGGAAGGTCTGTTCTGTAACAGCTTTTATACCGCAAGATGTCATTTGCATAGTCTTCGAAAACACTTATTGGATGATAGAATTAATAATATACTTTCAAAGATCTTATTTTAAAAAATTTTTAATTGTTTTTCTCTGGCTCCTCATTTGCTCAGAGCTGCTGGGGAGCTTCCCCCGACTCCTTGAAACAAACCTTAATGGCTTGGTTAGCAAAGTGTCATTCAAACCTGAGCGTAAAACCTGCCGGTTGGGATTATTGACATTCGTGAACAAATGCAAATGTTATAAATTTCTTAACCTTCATAAAGATTTACTATGATGTGACCTTGGACCTGGCCATAGATCTCATGAGAACAGTATGGGGAAGTAGTACTCATGCTGTTATATTAGGAAGATAACTTGTGAACACAGACTGAAGCCAACATCTGGGAGGCCTGGGTTATTGTTTTATTTTTGTTTTGGCTTTATTGTTTTAAGACAGCTAAGTTGTATAGAGTAGTGATTGGACCAAAATATTAAAAATATAAAAATAGTCGAGCCCACTGGAGGCCATGAGAACACCCGTTTCAGCTGGTGGTCTTGGTGGTCTTCTACTCATGCCATTCTCCCTAATTAGCTTTGCACTGTAATGCCTGGGAATGGGCTGCAAGCAGAATTCTCAGGAGGCTTTTGCTCTTACGCTGAACATAGTCTTGAACTTTCTCACCCATTTGTTCTGGGTTCTTTCCTTTTCATGGGTTCTCCTGACATGCAGTTGAGACGCTCCTCAACTCCCACGAAGCCGAGATGCCGTGGGAGTGGAAGTGGGTTGTATCACAGCTCTGCGCTGCGTTGGATGGCTGACTCTGGGCTTGCCGCTTAACCATGCCGGGCCTCTATTTAATCATCTATAAAATGGAAAAAATGAAACCTTTACATCATAAAATAATATGTCTTTTAGGGATTTATGCTCAAATATCTTGCATTACAAAATAGTTAAAGAGGTTTGTAGGAATCTATAAAATGTAACAAAACAGAAACAAATTAGAGCCAGGAAAAATATAGATAAAATAGAAAATAAAATCTGGGGAGATGAGTCGGCCAACCTGCAAGCTGTGTTCCTGCTCAGTGAGAAAGGCTTGTGGACAAATGTAGTTCCAGTTTTCCAGGAGATGAGCTTGCCATAGAGACGTATTACTACATACCATCAAATCCATAGTGTACTTACTATACTAATTGTATTCAGTGATTTATCTAAAATATTACATTTAAGCATTTCCCTCCTTCTCTGAAGTGTACATTCAGAGAAGTATGCTAGCGTTTTCTCTGGTCATTTGTTGGATACTTGTGCGCTTCATTTTGTGCATCATTAAGGAAATGTCAGTGATCATGGTGGTCTCCAGTATCATAGTAAGTAAACCCTTCTGTCACTGGTGCACAGCCACGACCAGAGGAGACCCCCTTCGGGCACTGCACACGTGGCCCGTGCCTCGGCATCATCCTTTGCTTCCTGCTCCACGTGCCTTGCTGCCCACACAGCTGTGCCTGGCACATTGTACCTCCAGTGGCTCTGGGCAATGTGTGGGGAGTGGACATTTCAGAGTCTACTCTGAGTCTTCTTTCTGTTTCTCTAAACCAGAAAAACAACAGAATATTCTAGGTCACAACCAATGCAGCAGAATGAATAAAAGGGTGAACTTTGGGGTCAGCCAGGTAGTGGGTCCTGGCCCAGTCATCTGGCCTCATAGAAGGCCACTTAACTCCCAGGGTCTTGGCTCCTTTTCCAGAAACAAGGAATACTAACGTCTTCCTTGGGTTTTTATTTTAAGAATTATGTATGTAAGTTGCTTTGTCTAGGCTTGATCAGAATTAGAGCTTATGTCTTCATTACAAGCTATTAACATATTTATGTATAGTCACGTGTCACTTAATGACAACATACTTCTGAAAAACACATGGTTAGACAATCTTCTTGTTGTGCAAACAACATAGAGTATACTTACACAAATCTAGATGGTATAGCCTACTGCACACCTGGGCTGTACGGTGTAGCCTATTGCCCCTAGACAACAAACCCATGCAGCATGTTTCTGTACTGAATACTGCAGGCAACTGTAACACAATGGAGAGTATTTTTGTATCTAAACATTAAAAAGTAGGGTAAAATACAAAATACCACCATATACACATGCCATGATTGATGCAGATGGGGCACATGACTGTATGTTATAGATTTAAAATACCAAACACATATACAAGCCATATGGCAAAGTATGACAGTTGGTACAATTGTAATTATTAACAACTCATTCATTTTGCTGATGAGGATATTGAGAGGAGTGCAACTACAATTCAGGTTTCCTATTTCTTCCTCATGGCTTCTTTGTAACCTACCACGTGCTCTCTACCTGGATAATGTAATATGTGCGTTCTTGCGTGTATGTACAGGGACAAAGGAGATCCTCTGGTCCCTGGACTGAGACTGCCTGTTTTCTTTCCCACCAGATGGCCAGTACGTATCTGGGAGAGATAATGAAATGCACCCTCCTACCTCACTTTTTTTTTTTTAACCAAATATCTGATATTAAAATATCAGATATGCATTTATGACAGTTCATGTTCACAGTGAAACAAAGCACCCTAAACCCACTGCCTTTTTGAATCCTTTTGGTGACTGCTTGCTTATTGCTAAAATGTTCTTCCTTAAAACTGGGATGCCATAAGCATGCCTCCTTTCTCCACCTTCTTTTTGTGATTGACAGGTAAGGCAGAACCCAAGAAGTATTTTCAACAAACTTATTTCTAGCCATTCGGCTGCCTTTGTTGTTGATAGGTAGAGCACTTCTCATTCCTAACAAAGTTGTTCAGAGGAGCACTGAGGCATTGCAAACATTTAACAGACCACTGGAGATAACATGAACAAAGAAACTTTCAATAATATGAAGAAGAAAAGCAAGAAATCATTATGTAAATTGTTTCACTTTGTGGTTAAGTGGTGGTGGTGGTGCTGTTTTGTTGTTGTTTTTATTCGCTTCACTGACTCTTTTTATGTACTAGGTCTTGCCCTATTGTTTGCATAAATTTCTTTCATGATTTAAAATTCTTTTTGTTTTCTAATAATCACATTTTTTTCCATGCTAAATTTATCTTTCCAAGTCATAAAGGAGATGTGATGAGAGACTAAGGAACAACCACCAGAACTATTCTAACCTCGTAAAAAGCATTTCTCATTAAAAACCCTGTCAAATAAAAAATAAATCTCAATTTAGTAAGAGTAGACGTTATTAGAAAGGATTATTGCAGGGGCTTAGGGATGGGCTATTCGAATAGTGGGAGGAGGATGGGTGCAATAGAAGAATGCTCTGACCATAAGATCTGCAGGCATCTCAAGGGTTAGGCAAAAGGGGCTTTTCTTTTCTTTTCTTTTCTTTCTTCTTTCTCTCTCCTTCCTTCCTTCCTTCCCTCCTTCTCTCTCTCTCTCTCCCATTCTTTCTCTCTCTTTCCTTCCTTCCTCTCCTTTCTTTCTCTCTCTCTCTGTCCCTCTCTCTCTCTTTCTTTCTTTTTTCGAAATGGAGTTTCTCTCTTGTCACCCAGGCGGAGTGCAATGGTGCAATCTCGGCTCACTGCAACCTCTGCGTCCCAGGTTCAAGCGATGCTCCTGCCTTAGCCTCCTGAGTAGCTGGGATTACAGTCATGTGCCATCATGCCCAGTTAATTTTTTTTTTTTTTGTATTTTTAGTAGAGATGGAGTTTCACCATGTTGGCCAGGCTGGTTTCAAACTCCTGACCTCCAGTGATCGGCCCATCTCGGCCTCCCAAAGTGCTAGGATACAGGCGTGAGCCACCACACCAAGCTTGGGCTTTCTTTTATACAGGGGAATAAACAAGCTAGTAAGAACTGGTGTGGAGGAGTGGGGTGGAAGAAAGACATATGGGATAGTAAATGAGAGAGGGTTTTACCCTAGGGCCAGCTTCTTCTCAGGAGAGGCTCTCTGCTGGCTGGGGTTGAGGTCAGGGTTCTGAGGATAGAGAGAACCTTCACCAAATTTAACCAATAAGCATTTCTGATTCATCAGTAGGGACAAGCAATCCAGCTAATCATTGTTGAGGCAAAGGATAGGAATTGGAAGTCTGGCCTTGTCCTATGTAGTCAACGGGTACAAGTGATATTAATGTCCCTTCCAGTTCCAAGTGCAGTTTAGTGCTTTGAGAATATTATTCAGAGATTCACTTATAGCAGTTACATTTTTACCAGTGTTAGGTGACACATCTAATTCATATGGGGAAAGGGGGACCTGGCAGTAAGCTGTTTTTGATCACACTGAAGGGTGAGGAGTTTCTTTCTTTCTTTCTTTCTTTCTTTCTTTCTTTCTTTCTTTCTTTCTTTCTTTCTTTCTTTCTTCCTTTCTTCCTTCCTTCCTTCCTTCCTTCCTTCCTTCCTTCCTTCCTTCCTTCCTTTCCTTCTTTCTTTCTTTCTCTCTCTTTCTTTCCGTCTTTTTCTTTCTTTCCTCCCTCCTTTCCTCCCTCCCTCTCTCTCTCTTTCTTTCTTTCTTTCTTTGAGACAGAGTCTTGCTCTGTCACCCAGGCTAGAGTGCAATGGTGCAATCTCGGCTCCCTGCAACCTCCACCTCCCGGCTTCAAGCAGTTCTCCTGCCTCAGCCTTCCGAGTAGCTGGGATTACAGGCACCAGCCACCGCGCTAGTTTTTGTATTTTTTTAGTAGAGACAGGGTTTCGCCATGTTGGCCAGGCTAGTCTCGAACTCCTGACCTCATGATCCACCTGCCTTGGCCTCCCAAAGTGCTGGGATTAGAGGCTTCAGCCACTGCGCCCGGCCATGAGGAGTATTTCTTTAATTTTCATTGTTTTCCAGGGGCTCAGACCTCAGGTAAAATTCAATCTTGACAATATGCATTCTTTATATGTAATGTTCGTAGATAGCTATAACATCATTTGTCCACAATATCAGAATGACGGAGGCATGTCGTAAGACTCATTTATGATAGTGCTGCAAGTCACATAGATATTCAAACAATATTAAACATCGCCTCCAGATAAGAATATTACCTGGCTAAAAAACAATAAGGCAATGTAATTATTACACAACTGGAAACACACTCAGATTCCCAGTTTACCTCTCACAGTAGAACTTTTAAAAGCAATCTGGACAGTAGGATTTAGTGGTAAGTTTTGGTTCTTCATATTTTAAATTTCAAAAAAACCTCACATAATAAAAGACAAATATCCCTTAAGCCTCTCATTCAGCTAGTTTCCTTTGTATAAGAAAAATAACATACTAATCCTTTTATACCATTTTTTTCATAAAGTTATATTTTATTCACCTAACACTGGTAAAAATGTCACTGCCATAAGAGAATCTCTGAATACTATTCCCAAAGCACTAAACTGCACTTGGAACTGGAAGGGACATTAATATCACTTACCACCCACTGCCAGTTGTTTTTCCAGATGAAAAAACTGGAGGCACATTGTGCCGATGTGCTGAAGTCCACATAGCCTGTTTGTCATGCTGTCATTTCTCCCACAGGACAGCTCTTCAAGTGATAACACAGACGGTGTCTGTCACCACAGTCTGCCCTCTATTCTTGGTTCTGCATCTGCAGATTCAACCAATCCATAAAAAATACTTGGTGGAAAAGCAGTAAAAAATAACAATAAATATAAAACATAATGCAAATTTTAAAATAAATATGAAAAGTATTAGCACAGCTCTTACCTTGTCATAGGTATTACAAGTCATCTAGAGATGATTTAAAGTATACAGTAGGATGTGTGTAGGCTATATGCAAATACTCTGTCATTTTATATCAAGGACTTGAGTGTCTGCAGACCGTCGTATCCATGGGCATCCTGGAACCAACCCTCCTCAGATCCTCAGGGACAACTCTATATTATGTTATATAACTAAATTAAAACATATGACTTGTGTCATTTCTTCCCTGGTAAATCTTTTCAATGAACCAACTGAATCAAACCTTTTAGTATATAAACTGAACTGAAATAAATCAAAATTCAGAATCCTAAAGCCAGCTCACTGGGGCCTGGCTCCACTTTTCCTCAGTTCTGTCTCCCCACCTCTGCCCCAACTCAGTGTGGCCCAGCCTTGACATGATGCCAGGGGCATTCTCCCTCTGAGTCCAAAACATTCTTAGTTGCAAATTGTCGTGTACCTGTTCTCACTTTCCCATAGTATCCTAACAACACATTCTCTGCTTTTTTCCCCCATCCTATGTTAGGTTCAATACTATGATTCTGAGCTGCATCTTTTTCTTTTCCTCATAGAATGTGTCAAAATCACATATTTATTTTTGTCATCAACTCTTCAGTATATGTCTTAGTCCATTTTCTGTTGCTATAATAGAATACCACAGTCTGGATAATCTGTTAATAAAATAAGTTTATTGGGCTCATGCTTCTAGAAGCTGGAAAGTCCAAGAGCATGCCACCGGCATCTGGTGAGGGCCTTCTTGCTGCCTCACATGGTTAGAGGACAAGAGCATGCATGTCCATTCGTATCTCCTTCTCTTCCTATGAAACCACCAGTCCTATCAGGGTGTCCCCTCTGCGATGACCTCATCTAATCCTAGTTACCTCCCAAATGCCCCACTTAAAATTAATATATGAGCTTGGGGATGAAGTTTCTAACCACATGAAATCTGGCGGACACGTCCAGTATTTCTTGAATGTTTAAATAAGTGAGTGTATTCAATAAAATGGCTTCCCCAAAAGTGGAAAATTTTTTCGTTAATTATTTTTTAATTGACCATCTTTGTCTATAAAATGAGGAGGAGGTTTTTTCTCCTCAGATATTAGAGTCATTTTAATGGCTTCACAGTATTTCACTTTCCATTAACATAACTGAGGCTATTAGTTTTTAATCCAGGTTTTTGCATTTGTGACACTGCATCAGTGAACATCTTGTATGTGCATATTTGTATAGCATTTCCTTAGAATAAGTTCCTTCAATCTGAATTACGAGATATGCATTATCTTGGTGTATTTTCAGTCAATACATTCCTTAATGTATCATATAGAAATACTTGCATATGCTTTGCTTTAAAAATGTCTATATTTTTTCTAGGATTCACATCCAAATAATAGCCAATATTAATGAATAACCTTTACATATAGATATTGGAGATGTTTTAAAAACCTCTTGGAGAGTTAATATTGAAATGACAAGATGTGCCTCTTTTTGCAGTATTCACATGACTTTTTGTACACAAGGGTGACTATAGGACTCTATCAATGGGTTTCTTTTAGAAGTCTCCATGTGGTATTATTTTACTGTAAGGAAATATAGTTGTTCATTAGTGCTCATGGTGATATTTGTGCAAAATAAATAAACACACTTTTATGCTGGTGTGTATTTCCTCTTTTACTCAATTATTTACCATGACTTTTTTTTTTACCCAAACATAAGTTTTAAATATTGATCTCTGTTAATGAGCTGCATCAGAAATTCTCCAATCTGTATTAATTAATATCCTCTAAAGCCTGTAGTTTACACACCACGCTTTGTGCAGATACTGGCATTAAACAGTCCTGTAACATATAAATGCATAGGAGGTCTTGGCGGGATTTTTTTTCTTACTTGATTAAGGCAGCCCCTGATCACTGACAAACTTGTCAAAGCCCCTGTGATCTAAAGACCTTGAATAAAGTCACAGCAGAGAGAAGAAAAAATCACACAAAGCCTTTTGCTAATATTAAAATGTTTGAAGTGACTGGCTTAATCTCAACCTTGAGGCAAATCAATGATTTCATACCAAGCGGCTGCTCCATTATATGCCTATCCTCAGAAAAGTGAAAGGAAAAGCAATTAATCCACCACTTCTGAGGAAAAGGGTCCATTTTCCCTGACATTCAACTGGCCATTTGATAAACTGAGCTATATTTAGTGAGGAAGATGGGGATGAACCCCCAGGAGTTGGGGAGTGAGGAGGAAAGGTCGCCTTTCTCCTGGTCATCATCCTTTTACCCCTGCAAAGGAAAGGAAGGCAGCCCCTGCAGAAGAAGGGGACAGTAGCCAGGCATGGGAGGGGAGCTGCAAAGGCCCTGAGCACATAGCCTTCAACAGGCACTGCAGGTCAGCAACAGTGCCGTGAGCTAGGCTCAGAAAATAGGAGTCAGGAGATGCAGAAATTGTCAGGCTAGCCAAATCCCTATGTGGCTGCTCATACCCTACATACCCCTCGTTTCGCATAATCTTGAGATAAAGCCTCTCTCCCTGTTCTGGGAAAGTGATACCTTATTCTGACACTATGTTAGAAATTGGCTTTCCAAGGGCTGTGAAATTAACCTCCCTGAGAGGTTAAGGGGTATGGAAGTGGTCACAGTGACAGACCCCCATCTCTAGGTGACAGGTGATGACACTATGATACTGTGGACACAGCAGCCTTAACCCAGCCAGGCCCTTATTAGTGAGGTGGGGCCAGAGAAATTACAGAGCACTGCATTTCCTTAGTTTTCCTTCTGTCTTCTCTGGGAGAGATTGCCTTGTTTAATTCATATATATTTTTCTCTCTCTGGGATGTAGTTAATCATTTGGGACAGCGGATCAGGTGGTTAAATTAGGCTTCCTGATTTGGGAATGAATAGGTAACTCTCTAATTTCACAATACCAAAACCTCAGCATATTCGGTATTAACCTATTGAATGGGATTACCACACAAGTATGATTTTCCTAGGACCGTGCTATGTGTATGGCTGTTATTTTCCCAAATGATCAAATTGTGATATTTCACTGTCCTAGATACAGATCCAGCAGGCAGCTGATACTGTCTGCTCTGTCTTTCCAGGATTCCCTCTCACACCTTATCACTTTGTTGCAGTTCTCAGTATAAATAAAATGCAGTTCCTCATCTGAAGAGATTTTGGGGAGTTAGGGAACACCACTGTTAAATTTTTTCCCAATGACTTCTTACCCATTTAAAAAGTATGCTTATCTATTTAGGCATAACTGAACTTCACATTCTCTGAAATCAATTTGTAATTACAAACACTATTTATAACACTGGGACAATAAATTTGGTTTTCCCTTTCAGAAAGTAAATTTTCTTTATAAACATTGAGAAATGTTAGTATTTCAGTTTACATGGAGGGTGATCAGGAGGGTTGGCTTCTGTATTAGGGAGGATCTCTCAGCTCTCTGAAATATTTTCTTTGGAAACTAACTGAGTTTAGAGGAGAGAGAGAAGGAGAGGGAGAAAGGAAAAGGAGAGAGAGAGGGAGGCATATTTATCTGAGGTTTCCAGTGAGGAGCGAATTTCCTCTTAATTTCTGAGAAAGCTGATAAGCTATCTATGGAATGCCTTCAGCACCTCCAGCATTTGTCGTACAGGAACCATCAGTCCAATGAATTTACATCACATTGGGGAGACAGGTGTCTGAACCCACGATGTTACTTTGAAATATTTTTTATGAGATAGAAAGAAGATCAGAAAGCTACAACAGAGATTTTAAGTTATTTTCAGATGGGCATGCATAGAATTTTTATAAAGTACTGCTTTAAAGAGCCATGGATACCTTCTCTTCACTGTGACTTGGTTTGCCTGGTGCAAGATAGGAGCAGTCAATTAACAGAGTTTCTTGTAGAATGCAATTCATTGGCATGACAGCAAAGCAAGAATGGGATTCTCTCCAGGCTGTTATTAGATTTCTGTGACCCTCCTCTATTGTTCACAGTTGTGTAGATTCCTATCTTCAAGTTATGTATGCTGTTCTGTATTAGAACATGAAATTGAAGTCAGTAGATCAGTCCTAGGGGACACATTGTTCTGACTAACAGTCTCTGGTGAGCATTATTCAAATTGTGATCAGAGCAATCACTAAATATAAGTGGAGCAAGTGAGGAAGTTGGTTATCAGCTGAGTGCCTTCCTCTTCACTCTTCCCCTGGATCCTCCCAGACTTCAAGCCCAGCTTGCCTCTTGCAGGATTATTTCAAAGAGGGTGTGCTTCTTCCCACTTGCTTCTAGCCAAGGAGCTGGCTTGGTATACAGCAAATGCAGCCAGCTACATCCTGCTCTGTGAACCGTCACTGTTGTCATACTTCTTGGCTCATGCCAACAGATAGACACACTTACAGTTAATTTGAGTATTCACTGGCTCCATATAGGCCAATAATATAAAAATTGCTTCAGTAAGATATGCTCATGCATATATACATATGTAATGACTACTTGATTTCAACCTACAACCTTGCTATTCAAAGTTATGTTTATTTGCACTTCAGTTTACCTTTACAATAATAGAATATAAGAATTGTCTGGTACCCAGGCTGTGAAAAGGGATGCACATTCAATTATGTTTCCTTCAATAAAGGAAAGTTTACGGAGTGCAGGCTCTGTGGCGGAGTGGTTCTAAGTACTCAGATGTAATGGTGAAAACAACAGGCAGGATTCCTAGCCTCATGGAGCTGACCTTATAGTGGGAAAGATGGCCAGTAAGCAAGTAATTAAATTAATTTGCTATATAATTTGAGCTAGTTATGAGTCCATACAGAAATGTCAAACAGATCGAAAGGATACAGGTATTGGTCGTTTGTACAAAAACAGACTATTTCTGAAAGGCTTCTCTAAGTCGAGTGCTGGATAGATTGAGGGAACTAGCTGTGCAATGTTGAGAGGAACAGTGGAAAGGAAGAGGGAATGGCAAGTGCCAAGGCCGAGGGCAGATATTGAGTTTGGTGTATGTAGATGTAGAGTGGCTGGATCTGGGAATGAACTGGTGATCTGGGAGAGGGGCAGGGGCAGATGTGTGTAAAGAATATGCATAGGTAGCCATCAGCAGGTGCTGAGCAAAGGAATAATGGGCTCTAATTCATGTTTCTAAAAGAAAAGCCCAGCCTCTGTTGGAGAAATGGCTCAGGCAGGCTGAAATGGATGCAGGTAATGGATTCCAGGTAAGAGCAGGTGCTTGCGTGGGTGACGCTTGTGTCATTCTGAAGGTGGTGAGAGGTGGTCTCATTCTGGAGTGATCTTGATGATAAAACCTACAGTATCTGTTGATGGATTAGAAGCTGAATATGATGGAAATAGAGAAATTAAGGATGAATCACAGTTACTTGAACACCTGGGTGACTGGGGGTGTTTTTGTTGGGATGGGGGAGACTAGGCAGAAGCAGGTTTTGTTGAAGAACAATCAGGGATTCTAATTTGGGCATAGTAATTTAGAGATGGCAAGGCAGATGAGTCAGGGAGACAATTTGCTGTACAAATCTGCAGCTCAAAGCTGGAAACATAAATTTAGCAAAAAGCAAAGGGTAGATACGTAAGCCATAGGACTGAGAAGATCACTTGAGCAGCGAGTTTGGATAGAAAACAGAAGTGGTCCCATAGATTGCGCTGTGGTACCTTCCATCATTTAGAGGTGTACAAAAGATCCAGCATACAACACCGCAAAGCAGCAGCTACTGGTGGTGCATGTGGAAGCTTGTGGCTAGGCTGATGTTACTGTGGGTTCTATTCTTAGTGATGGTACTTGAGTCCAAATATCTGGAAGGATTTTGAAAAATCAGAACAGTGCAAGATTGGAGCTCTATTTAAAGACACCTGGAAATAATGTTTGTAAACCAATATGTAAAGTGCAATATTGGACTCTGCTAGGCATTAGGTAGAGTCAATTTTCATGTTTTCGCCTCATTAAAGTGAAGATTTTTAATAAGCTTTGAATAGCTGTTTGAAGATATTTATAACTTCAATCAGCTCACATATTTATCAGACATTAATTTCAAACCATTTAACGATCTTTCAGCAAAGTGAGATGAGTGATCAATGGACTAAGAACTTTTTCCCCTAAATTTCTTGTTTTTCATTTTAATGAATCATAACTTTATTTTTCAAATTTTAAATGAGCATTCACATTTATACAGGAAAGGATTAGTTCTGGGACTCTCATTACCAATATTTGTCATTTTTGAAGGTGGAGAGAAGAGTCTCTAGTCCCTGTCTGTACGTGTGGTTGACCAACTGTAACATCGGGGACCCACTTATGCTTTGCATCTAAAATGTAGTGCTCCAGATTTCTATTTTCCACAAAATATACTCTAAGAAGTCAATTCCACAGCCCTTATGATGAATTTCTCTTTTGAATTTTGAATTTAGTGATTTTGTGGTTTGTGCATTTCAGTTGAAACACGTCTCTCTAAAGCATACCTGCTTCAGTAGAAATAAAGACTAAAGGCTTCTCTCTTATTACGTGGTTCAATCCCTCTTGTAATTTGCTTTATGCCCAGGTCCTTGAATGAGCTCAGCGTAGTGAGGTTTCTACACCTTCTATTTGGAGAATTCTCTCTACGATAAACATTGTGTCTGCACATTCACCACCAAACATGAGAAAATAGCCCTCACAAGAACACATTGATGTCACTCAGGTCACTAAGTAGTTAAGTTTTTTTTTTTTTTTTAATGGAACTACTGGTTTTTAAAATACAACATCCTTTGTCCATCTTTTTGGACTTCCCCCAAATTTCAATAGAGGAACACAACCTTAGTGTTTTCTGTCCAGAAGGCATGCACGTTTTCTGTATGGACACTAGGGATGGTGAGAATGCATTTGCCAGCTTTGACTAAGTAGCTAACTTCACTTTTGTTTTTATGTCACATAGGGCATAAGAATGGTAGAAGGCTAGTGCATTTTTCCCTACTATGTTTTTCAAGTTTAAGAGTGAGGGGAAGAGAGTAAGATTAATTAATGTCAAATTAGACCTCAGCTTTGTACCTTCAGGTAGAGGTCAAGCACAAAGTGAAAATCAACACCATAATTTCATAATTTGGGACTCACATATTTGCGCCATTTCTAAAGTAAAACAAGTGTTTGTGGGTGTCAGATTTATTGATCATTGAGAGAGTCTCTTACATTTAAACTATAATTGGATATGTTTTGGGTTTTCAAAAACCATGATTTTCAGGAACTGTGTTCTAATGGATATAGATATAAAGGGTAGAGAGAGAAAAAAAAAGTAGCTAAATTATTCCAGATAATGAAAAGCAAGATAAAATTTGCAGTGGTTTGGTTTATTACATTAAGGTGGGGGAAAAAAACCCTTATTTTCAAAGTGTTGCATAGCTAAAAATGAATGCAATAGTCAATGAGTAAAGGGTGTGGATGTTAAGAGAATTAACACACACACTAAAATTTGGACTTTATTACAGAGAAATCATACCAACTACGTAAAGATGTACATATGCGGAAGACTGTATGCAAGTCCCATACGTATACTAGGATAGTTACGTAAAGTTAAATGTAGATATATACACTGGTTATCCATTGTGCTCCTCCTGCTGTATGACAAGAAGACTGTGCATTTGCAGGAGAGCCAGCCAGGCAGCCAGCCGGCTGTCAGCACTTTCTGGCCGGATCATTAGCGCAGCAAGAGAATGAACTTCTGTGCTCAGGATTAGGATTTCCTCATAAGTAGCAGCATATACCAAGGAGGGGACTGGAGCCATGACTGATTTTGAAGAACTGATTTGGCCTGAGCCAGTGGCTGAAGCAGCGAGCTGCCCATGCCTAGGAATTCTTAGGCTCAAGTTAATCTTGTTATACTCATGGAGTCTTCGGGCAGTTCACGACTTCAAAAGATTGAGATCAGCCTGACCAACACGGTGAAACCCCGTCTCTACTAAAAATACAAAAAATAGCTGGGCGTGGTAGCAGGCGCCTGTAGTCCCAGCTACTCGGGAGGCTGGGACAGGAGAATCGCTTGAACCCAGGAGGCGGAGATTGCAGTAAGCCAAGATTGCAGCACTGCACTCCAGCCTGGCAACAGAGCAAGGCTCTCTCTACAAACAAACAAACAAACAAACAAAATTCTTGGTGTTCCTCCTGCACAAATCCCTCCCAAATGTCTTTGCAGAATTTCTCCCAAATTGCAGTAATTTGACCCACATGGCTCTGCTCGTGAGGACTGGTTTCATGCTTGTTGTGGGCCTTTCCCATTACAGTGCCATTGTGGAAGGAGGAGCCCTAGGGCCCCTATCCACAGCACCCAGGAAGGGGTGCAGCGCAGCCTTGGAGGGGAGCACTCTCTCCTTTCTGGTGCCTGCGTGTCTCTCTCTCTCTCTCTGTATCTGTCTCTGCCTCTGTCTTGTCTGCCTGTCTGTCTCAAAGCGCATAGCCCTGATTCTTATTTTTCTGCTTTTCTCAGTCTCTCTTTTTTTATGAGTCTTTTCTTTCTTAGGGTAAGCACTGACTCTTTCTCCTTAAGTTCTTTCTAACCTGCCCAGTTTGATCTAATTTTATTATTATTATTATTATTATTATTATTATTATTAAACTTATTGATGCCTTCTCCCTACCTGTATGCAATAGATTCCCCTGGGGGATCATTGCTTCCAACTCTTTCCATTTGTATATACATATGGTTTCCTAAACATATATGTTTAGGAAATAAAATAATAAAATAATAGAAGTATAAATATATAACAAAAGTATATATATATATATATATACAGCCCTACATTAACAGCAGTCATTTTCTGTAGCCAGCAGTTTACATTAGTTAATAACTATTTCCCAGGTAAATCCACATTGTCCTTTTATATGAGATTTCCCCATATATGTTTTCTGAAGTTAAACACATCAGCTACATCTACTGTCAATTTTGTTACTGTGGGTTGATACAACAAAATCTTTGGTCAAAGCACATTTATTAAGCCTCTGCTGTGTGTACAGCATTGGAGTTGGCTCCATGGAGGGTGCAGAGATGAGGAGCTCCAAGGTGCATAGTGTTGGGGAGATGTGCACAGCAGAGATCTCAGGTTCTCCAGGTCTCTTTGGCCACATCAGTGTCAGGTTAGTATGAAAAAGAAGGTTAGATTAACTTAGAAATACTTTTCAAACTTCTGAAGATACCAAAGAGATGAAAGAAGGTATCCCGATCTCTCAGCTTTAAAAATAGACCACAATAACATGTAAGCCTGAATTTCTCAAGTTCAACAGGTGCTATGGTTTGAATATGGTTTCTTCTCACAGAAGCTCCTGTTGAGTCTTGGTCACCAATGTAGGTGTGTTGGTTTAAAGGTGGTGGGAACTTCGGGAGGTGCTTGGGTCATAAGGTATTTACAGTCATGGATGGATTAATGCCATCTGACAAGAGTGGGTTCTTACTTTTGAGGGACTGTATTAGTTACTATGAGAGCAGGTTGTTATAAAGTTCGGTCACTCTTTGTGTTTTGTCTTTTGCACCTGCTCACTCATAGATGTGCTCTCACCACGTGTTGCTGTCTACCATGTTATGATGCAGCCCAGACAGGGCTGCCCAATCTTGGACTTCCCAGCCTCAAGAACTGTGAGCTACATAAATGTTTTCTTGATAAATTACCCAGTCTCAGGTATACTGTTATAACCACAGAAAATGAACCAAGACAACAGGCCTGTCTCTCCCAAGAACACCAGGAGTTTCGGGTACCACTAACCCAGGGCATCTCAGATGAGTATGGTTTTTTATAAAATTTGATCAGAAAATGGCTTTGCACTGTGTAAAACTCTTATAGCAGCTCAGAGCAAGATGGCTTGGGCCCTGGGGATTGCAGCAACAACCTTAATTTTTTGCCATGATTTTCTCCCTAGGGCGTATAATACTAGAGTGGCTGGGTCAGGGTGGGTCCGTGCCCAGAAAGAGGATGCAGCAGCATCCAATTCCCCAGGCCTACTTCCCTCAAGATAGATTCCTTCCAGAAGGCCTGCAGCCTCTCTGTTAATTCCCTTTGATTGGCTTCTCTCCTCCAACTGGGAAAGTATAAATGACGGCACGCATCAAGCTTTTTCTCCAACTTGTCCTTCCCCACATGCACATTAGTGGATGTAAATTCAGTCTTGGGTCACTTTTTGAGGGGGATGCATTCTGAGTAGTCCACCGTTAGGTGATCTTGGCATTGTGTGAACATCATGGAGTGGACTTACACAGACCTGCATGGTATAGCCTCGCACACACCTAGGCTACATGGTACAGCTGTTGCTCTTAGGCTGCAAACCTGTACAGCACGTGAATGGACTGAATACTACAGGAAATTATAAGACATTGGCAAGTTTTTGTGTATCTAAACATAGAAAAAGTACAGTAAAAATACCGTATTGTAATGTTATAAAACTACCACTGTATATGCAGTCCATTGTTGACCAGAACATTGTTAGGCAGTTCTGTAAACTCAGTGTATCTATATGCCAAATATAGCTCAGCTTGGTCTTAGCTTAAACCCTACTAAGTCAAATAAAATATCGTTAAGAGATAAGAAAAGGAAAAAAAAATCTTTTTGGGGTATGGAGGAGTATCTATGAGGGGCCATCGACTCAAAGCTTATTGTGGTGGTGGAAGGCACAACCAGGAGCTTGAGTGACTAATTTCAGATGCTGACACCACACCACGAACACAGCCAAATCAGTCTTTGTAGTCCTTCATTCCCTGTCCTTTAAAAAGGGATACATTGGAATAATAGTAATATTTATCTCATATGATTCCTATCTCATATTACAAAACGACAACAACAGCTCTTGGAACATTGTTAATACACAATATCCTAGGTAGGCAATGAAAAGTCAACAAATTTTACAGGTAGAGCTGTGGGAATGACATTTCAGGGGGAAAAACCAGGACATAAGAAAGAGATACAAAGGTAGGAAAATGTGTAGTGTATTTGTAGAAAGGTATACTGTGCTGTTTCTGGAGCATTATGTTTGTGTGTGTGTGTGTGTGTGTGTGTGTGTGTGTGTGTGTGTGTGTGTGTCACGTGTCTATTTGGAATAAGCCAATATACACATACGTATAGATGTCAATAGATTTAATCAAGCATTGATTTAATTTAGTCAAATACCAGCCTGTAGAATTCTTCATCCCAATTTAATTTTGTTTACAAGCATATCTAGGAGTTCCAGCCTGTCACAATTACTGCAGTTTATACTGCTGCTACTAATAGTGCTATTAGCAGCACTATTATTATGATTAACTGCCTCTACTGAGCTTTTATTACATGCTAGCTACATGCCAAGAGTGTCAATCACATGAAATTCTTAAAGTGCCCTCCTATTATGGTCTTCTATTCACAATATCAAAGACTTGGAACCAACCCAAATGTCCAACAATGATAGACTGGATTAAGAAAATGTGGCACATATACACCATGGAATACTGTGCAGCCATAAAAAATGATGAGTTCATGTCCTTTGTAGGGACATGTATGAAATTGGAAATCATCATTCTCAGTAAACTATCGCAAGGACAAAAAACCAAACACCGCATGTTCTCACTCATAGGTGGGAATTGAACAATGAGATCACATGGACGCAGGAAGGGGAACATCACACTCTGGGGACTATTGTGCGGTGGGGGGAGGGGGGAGGGATAGCATTAGGAGAAATACCTAATGCTAAATGATGAGTTAATGGGTGCAGCACACCAGCATGGCACATGTATACATATGACATATGTAACTAACCTGCACATTGTGCACATGTACCCTAAAACTTAAAGTATAATAATAATAAAATAAAATTAAAAAAAAGAAAACTAACAGTGAGGTGAAGTAAACCAGCCACACGTATTAGTCATTTTTTGCTGTGTAATAAATTACTACTAGTGCAGTGGCTTTAAACGACACCCATTTATGATCTCACAATTTCTGTGAGTCAGGTCCCGCATTTCCTCAGGTCTGACCCGCAGACATTGTGAGCAGTGCTTAACTGCATCCTCCACTCAGGGTCTCACAAGGATGGATCAACGCATTAATTGGGCCATGTTCCTTTCTGCAGTTTGGGATTCATTTTTCACACTGACATGATTGTTGGCAGAATTCATTCCCTGAAGTTGTAGGACTGAAGTCCTAGCTTTCTTGCTGGCTGTCAGCCATGGTTGCTTTCAGCTCCTTGAGGCTCCTGCAATGCCCTGACACGTGGGACTCTCAGCATGATAGTTCACATCTTCAAAGCGGTCGGAAGCTCTATCTCCGTATCTTCGTTTCCACAAGATCTGGACTGTTTTTCTATGGGAGCTTCTCTGATTGGGTCAGGCCGACCCAGGGTATCTCCTTTTGGATTAATTCAAAATCAACCGATTTCTGACCTTTTGCACATCTACAAAAATCCTTTATCTTTGGTATTTAATATAACCTCCTAATAGGAGGATATCTGATCATTTTTACAGGTGCCACCTGCACTCAAGGCGAGAGGGTTACTTACATAGGACATGTATATTAGGGGGCTGGAATTTTGGGGATTATCATAGAATTCTGCCTCCTATGTTGTCCAAAGTGGTAAGAGTAAAAGGTCGTTATTCAAACCAAAACCAATGTTTTACCTGTAAAACATTGCATTAAATCTACTTTTATCTTTTTCATCCTTTGCATCTTATCCTCCAACTGGTACGTCATCTTAGAAAGTGTATTAACTGTTAGATAAGATTATGTATGATTGAATTAGTGTCTGAATTCTCTATACCTTTAATGTTCTGTTGATTCTTTTGAAAATCCTTCCTTTTTAGAGATTATGTCCTTGTCAAACCCAGACTGCAAAGTGGTAAAGCAAAGATTTATCATCTGACATTTTTTCCAATTAATTTGCATCTGCTGAAAATCTTTTTCTGAACTTATTGAGTTTTACCTGAATATTTACATCTCCTCTCTTGTGCCCACTAGTATTCTACTGTAAGCTTCATACATTTTTCAATCATCTTATTTTGAGTAATGAAATAAGGCCGGAGAAGCATAGTCTATGTCAAATTTTGGCTTGGGAGACTGAGGTATTTGGCTGACGATTTTGGAGCAGTTGAGCCTAGCTCTGGCCATACCACTGTGGCATCAATGGGAATGTTCAGAGTTCTCTGCTGCTCCAAATTTAATTGAAGTCTATGAATTACTGAATAAAGCATGCTTATTTGAAGAGTTTAATAGCTTTGGTTTAAGATAGCAAAGTGAGAAACCAGGGCTTCAGGAATATCTTATTACTGTTCATAGTCCAGTAAATTTCATTCATCAGCCAGGTTACTGTCACAGCAATGACACATATACTCAGTGACAAACAGACCAGACCAATTGAAGAAGGTCTATTTCATTTTGCTGCAAATTCAGTGTCATCAACTAGCAGCAAATGCAAGATACTGAGCTGGGCACTAGGACTGAGGCGAACAAGGAAGAAAAGAAATAATTCCTTACGCACTAAATGAATACACATCATGGGAAGAAACATAGGCAGAATATGCATTTTTGTGCATTAGTCTTAAAAAAGAAACTATTCCAGCAGGAACCAGTCTTTCACACCAAAGCATTCTGGTATCATGAGGGAAGATTTTCTAACAAGGCATCAGATTGGTTACATTACCATTCTCCGCTCTTCACTCATCTAACTCTTTGAAAATAAACACTCACCAGAGAATGGGATAGCTGGCCAAAGCCATGCAGGATAATTTAGCTCAATACATTCACAATACATCCCATTTCAAGAGGAGAGTGAAAGGATGAATTGTAACGTTTATTGGGAACTTAGTCTCTATATGCCTGTTTCTTTCACTGCAAATCCCTGCTGAAATCCATGACTCCAAATTTCAGTCATTCGGTAAGTGTTGCCTTTTTGAGTACTTTTCCCTGACGGCTGCCTGCCCCTCCCCTTGGCTGCGCCATGAGTAGACCATTCTGTGTCCATGTGGAGTTCCGTTTCCTGACCTCTGCCTTGAACTTGCATCTTGACTTTTTTTTCGTTGATTGATTTAGTCCCTCTTTTACCTTGGTTACTGGTTGGGTCTCTGATTTGAGAAACTACCTGTTGGGTTATGCTCACTGCATAGGTGACAGATTCCTTTGTACCTGGTTTGCTGCCCTCTGCTTTGTACTTGAATCTTCACTTCTTACCCTTGATTGATTTAGTCACTCTTTTACGTTTATGTTGAAAATTTTTCCCCCATGAACTCTGGCCTTGCTGGGCTCATTCCTGAAGATTCCAGACTGTAGTTGCCTGTTTACTCCCTTGTTTGTTTCTTTTGCTATGCCGAAGCTCTTTAATTATGCAGGTTTAATTAGGTCCCTCTTGTCAATTTTTGCTTTTGTTGCAATTCCTTTTGAAGACTTAAGCATACATTCTTTACCAAGGCCTAGAATGGGAAGGATATTTTCTAGGTTTTCTTCTAGGATTTTTATAGTTTGAAGTCTTACATTAAGTCTTTAATCCATCTTGAGTTGATTTTTCTGTATGGTGATAGGTATTTTTCTGTATAGGAATCACCATACAGAAAAATGAACTCCAAGATGGATTGTCTTTAATCCATCTTGAATTTCATTCTTCTGTATATCTATAGCCTGTTATCCCAGCACCATTTATTGAATAGGGAGTCTTTTCCCCATTGCTGATGAAACAATTTTAATATATGAGAGGATATACACAGATTATAGGCAAATACCACACCATGTTATATAAAGGTGTTGAGCACTGTTGGATTTTGCTGTCCATAGGAGGTCTTGGAGCCAATCCTTTATGTATACAAGGGAGCAACTGTACATGCCTGGCAAGGGTATTTTATTTTATTTACTATTCTCCAACATCATTAAAGGCAAATACTATTAGCCCTATTTCATATGTAAAGAAACTAATCATTTAATCTCTAAAATGTATTTACTCATGGACCGAAGAATCAAATCAAGGAAACACTAATGAATCTAAACAAGTGTTTTAATTGAAGATACCCATTTGTGAAATGGAGAAGGAAAGATATTATCTCCCTGAAGTATGTTTTTTTTTTTTTCCTCCATGCTGCGGAGGACCATTGGATGATGCACAAGTTTTTTCATCTTTATTTTAAAACTCAAGTGCATTTTCTACGTAGTGTTGCCTTTTACTGTTCATTCTGAATAAAAATCATCTCTGGCAGAAACAAGATATAGTATCTATGCAAAGATCCAGCTGGCCTGAGTTTGTAATATGCAGTTTAATATAGAAATGAAATAAAGCCAATAATGAACAGTAGAGGAAGCGGAAGAGCTACAGTGCAGGTGGCTTGTCAGTTTTTATTAATTTTTCTAGACAGGGAGTCACCTATGCAGTATTAGATAAAGAAGTGTTTGACAGATCTCTGAATCCACTGCGTTCTAGTAGATTTTGTGAAAGTTTCTGTCAGAGCAAGTGAAGTCTTTGGCTGATTTCTTATTTTATTTATTTAGTTATTTATTTGGGCAAGAACTCTCTCTGTTACCCAGGCTGGAGTACAGTGGCAGGATCATGGCTCACCGTAGCCTTGACCTACTGGGTTCAAGTGATTTCTCCCACCTCAGCCTGCCAAGTAGCTGGGAGTACAGGTGCATGCCACCATGACCAGCTAATTTATTTATTAATTTTTATTTTTTATGTAGGTAGAGACAGGGTTTCTCCATGTTGCCCGGGCTGGTCTCAAACTCCTGGGCTCAAGTGATCCACCTTTCTTGGCCTCTCAAAGTGCTGGGATCACAGGTGTGAGCCACCATGCCGAGGTGTGTAACTAAACAGGCATATGGTTGGCAACTGAGAAACAGAAAAGAAGTAAGAAGATGGATGTTCTTTAATTCGCTGCCACGGAGGAACATGAGTGGAGGCCCATGTGCATTATCTACCACCCCATTTGTGGCACCAGGTCCTCACATAGGGAGCTTCACTGTTAGGTTCCCAGCACTGTCTCAATGTCACCCCACAAAGTAGGGTGCTTTCTACTCCTGGAATGCTTATTTTGTGTCCACTGAACTGATACCTTAGTCTCATGAATCTTTTAATGAATGGTTTCCATATTTTGCTATGCATGCAATTTCCCTGGTAAACTTAAAAATTAATAACTAATAAACGAATAAATAACTCATGTCCAATCCCCAACCCCAGATAGGTGGATTTGCACAGAGGCACTCCAGAACAGGCCTCACTGTTTCCAGCCCCGGCTGCCATGCTCAGCAGGACTCTAGGCTGCCACACACCTCAGGGTTCTGCCCTCTGCAGCATGTACTACACAGTGCTGGGCTTCCCACACCTAGTGAACGAGTCACGACAGCCTCCTGATGTCATGACTCCAGGGCTTGGGGCCTCTCTCAGCAGGAACACAGGCTGCACACAGGAGTTCTCCACCCCTGCTGAGCCACCACCATCATTCCTGCTGCCCAGTGTCCTTCCCCAGAGGGGCTTCCGCAGGGAGCGGCCTGGTCAGCACCGCCTTCTGGAAAGCACCTCCATCACGCTGCTCCCCAGCAAGTGCTCCCAGAGACTCTAAAGTTTATGAACTGTGGTCCTTCCTCTGGAGGGCTGTGGCTGGCTGTTGCCACAGCAGCTTAGTCCTCTGAAAGGCAGACCTGTCACCCCGGCGTGCAGTTCTGTGCTGGAGCTGTGTGGGACATGTCTACCTCTCAATCGCACCCTAAACCACCTGTTTCTTTTGCATAGAGATCCTGCCAGAATGTTTTCCCACACCCCTGCTCACCTCCTACTTAGAAGTCGGATAGATTAAGGATTCCTAGATGCTGTTAGCAGGGATAAAGGATAGGGAAGAAAGGTGAATATTGCTTACTTATTGAGAGACAACCCCAAGCTGGAGCCTTAACAATACCATGATAGTGTTTTTGTCTCCCTTGCGCTAATAGGAATTGTGCTTCTCAGTAGAATCTTACATATTCCTCTGATTGATGTATTTATTAATACTCTTTTAAAAATTTAAAACTGGGCATGGTGGCTCATGCCTGTAATCCTAGAACTTTGGGAGGGCGAGGTGGGCAGATCACTTGAGGTCAGGAGTTCGAAACCAGCCTGACCAACATGGTGAAACCCCATCTCTACTAAAAATACACACACAAAAAATTAGCTGGGTGTGGTGGCACACGCCTGTAATCCCAGCTACTTGGGAGGGAGGCAGAGTCAGGAGAATAGCTTGAATCCGGGAGGTGGGGGTTGCAGTGAGCTGAGGTAGCACCATTGCACTCCAGGCTGGGCAACAGAGGGAGACTGTGTCTCAAACAAACAGACAAATAAACAAACAAAAAAATGTAAGTAGTGGGACCAAGTCTGAGAAGCCAGAGCAGTAAGGAGAAGGAACATGTGGATGTGTGTGTTTGTTTTTCTGCTTCCTTCTTCCTACCCCCACACAGAGGCTGTAGAAAGGGATGTGGAAACCATGCATATCAGGAGAGAGACTGAGGGGAACAAATGATTGGGCCTTGGTTCATGTAGCACATGGAGAATGTGTCAAGAGGTGCTTTTTACAGTTTTTCTGATATGAATCATTTTCCTTGATTAAGGAGAGATTCTTCGATTGTAGAATAGCTGCATTAGTTGAGCATATACATTTATACAAGGATACTATATTTGTCTGTACACCGAAAATCTTGGTGTTTGCAATATCAATTAAGTATTAAAGTAGAACTAAGTCTATTGCAGGCTTCACCTGGTATAATTATCATGTCCTAATTATTACTGCCAGTTAAATTAAACCTAATAAGAAGTATCAGTTTCTTCCAAAACCCTGATTTTACCCCCAAAGTGATTTTCCTTACTTCAAATACAGAACCAAAAGAAAGATTTCATTTTTAAATATAATTTTGCTGGCTGTCAAAATCATTGTAATGCAACTTGGTCTCATCATCTCATGATGGGCTCACTGTGTCCGTGAGTGGCTGTTCATCAAAGTGTCCTGGCTGTGTGGCCGTGTGGCTTTAACATTAAAGCCCAATGATGGAGCTTCCCAGACACCGTCTGTGAGAGTCTAACTAGATCACATTCCTGCCGCCAGATGGTTTGGACAGGTGATCAAACCATAGGTCATTTCCTGAAAAAGCCAGGCAAACTGGGTTTTTTTTTTTTTTTTTTTTTTTTTTTTGAGACGGAGTCTCGCTCTGTCGCCCAGGCCGGACTGCGGACTGCAGTGGCGCAATCTCGGCTCACTGCAAGCTCCGCTTCCCGGGTTCACGCCATTCTCCTGCCTCAGCCTCCGGAGTAGCTGGGACTACAGGCGCCCGCCACCGCGCCCGGCTAATTTTTTGTATTTTTAGTAGAGACGGGGTTTCACCTTGTTAGCCAGGATGATCTCGATCTCCTGACCTCATGATCCACCCGCCTCGGCCTCCCAAAGTGCTGGGATTACAGGCGTGAGCCACCGCGCCCGGCCGCAAACTGGGTTTTTAAAAGAAGGACTTTTCACTGAAATTAGATTGTTTAATTAGTTTGGAAAATCTAGTTAGAAAGTGAAGATGGCCTTTCAGACAATGATAGTGTTTCCTGCAGATAGTGGCTGCAGCTATTCCCCATCCTGTCCATTTGTCCATTTGGGGTCCAGAAGGGTTTAAGTTCATTGCCCTTCAGTTTTCTTGTGACAGAGTCTCACTGTGTAGCGCAGGCTGGAGTGCAGTGGTGCGATCTTGCTCACTGCTACCTCTGCCTCCCGGGTCCCGGTTCAAGCAATTCTCCTGCCTCAGTCTCCCAAGTAGCTGGGATTACAGGCATGCACCACCATGCCAGCTAATTTTTGTATTTTTAGTAGAGATGGGGTTTCACCATGTTGGCCAAGCTAGTCTTGAACTCCTGACCTCATGATCCACCCACCTTGCCCTCCCAAAGTGCTGGTATCACAGGTGTGAGCCACCGCCCGGCCTGCCCCTCATTTTTATTTCAGTTTTGCTCCTGTATTCAGTGATGCCCATCAAAAGCTTCATCCTCAACTCCAAAGCCAATTAGATAGAATAAACAATAATTTCAATAGTCTTAATACTATTAAAATAAGACTCCATTTCTTAATGATGACACGAACATGGTGGCTGTAATGTAACCTTCCCTGCATGATGTGGTTAAATGAAGATTTATAACCAATTTACATTTAATCTTTTGACAACATTCATTTAGTATCACCAGATAACAGAAGCTGAGAAACATTTAGTTTAGAATCCTGACACTGTAAAAATAATTATCAAATTGCATGTCATTTTAATGGGCCTGGAAGAACATTCCTCATTATATTGTCACAGAGATTAAGTTATTTTAAGGCCAGTTGATTGTGATTTTATCTTTTGCAAGCTGAAAGACTTTTTTATACCACACCATTAGTTTCAAGTCTAGTTATTTGGTTCCTCCACATAATATTTACCGTTTTTATTCATCAACACCAGGGAGAATGCAATAAAATGTAGCCTTCACCTTCAAAAGAATCTAAAGCCTGGTAGGAGAGATAAAATTATCTATGGGATATTGTGAGATAGAATGTAGCTTACGACCCCTAAGAATGATGCAACTCAAATGTAGTGGGCATTTAGGGGGAGGGGATTTACATTAAATGGAGGAATTAAGTAAGACTTCCTAGAGGAAGTGGTATTTCTGGGCCCAATAAGGTTGCAGATGGGGAAGTAGGATGAAATAAGGATTCCTAGATGCTGTTAGCAGGGATAAAGGATGAGGAAGAAAGGTGAATATTTATTGCTTACTTATTGAGAGACAACTCCAAGCTGGAGCCTTAACAATCTTCTCTCTCCTCAAAAATAAGATCCTAAAGTATAATTTACAAAAGGTAAAATTATAAAGCAAATATAAAGTGAACACATGTAAAAATTTTTATTTAATCTTTTAATGAATGAGGGACATCATAAGATACCATGACCAATTCAGAGAGCCTTGAGAAATTAGGGATCTATCTTTCTATCTATCTATTTATCAACTAAGAAATTTCCGCCAGGCCACACATTTTGGGTGTTATCTGTTTCACTGGACAGAAATTATTTGCATATGTACTGGATAAAAGTCTGCAAATATACAGGTAACTTCCCTGGAACCTTCAATCTGTGTTAAGAAGGAATTCATTCCCTTAGACCTGTGTTGCCCAAATTTGGATAACCACTGGACAGAACTGGCTGTTTAAATTTAAATTAAACAAATGTAAATAAGATTTAAAAATGAATTCCTTAGTTTCAGGAACCACCTTTCATGTGCTCAGAGCCACAGGTAACCAGTGGCTGCCATCCCCAACTACACAGAGAGAACCATCCAACCCTGAAGAAAGGAGAGGAGGCAGTCTGTGCTGTGGTTTCTGTCTTGACTCTCTAGGGAAACCACGATTCTGCTGCTCAAAACCTAGGATACTGGAGATAGAAAAGATGGTACAGCTGAAACAAAGTGCGTGCAATTGGAAGTCATAGAACTCTGGGTGTTGAATTGGCCCCACCTCTAAACTTCCCTTCCCTTCCTTCAGGTGCCTATTTGTTTGATCTGTTCCCCTTTGAAGGTCTTCCTGCAGTGTCTCCTGGCACCTTGGTGTTCGTGTGTGTATGCTGTACGTCTGAGACCTGAACCAAGCTCCAGAGAGATAGGGGATGTGTCTGGGGTCACTCCCTAACAGCATTGAGCCAACACCTTTTGATCTAGGGTGCATGGCTGCCTTCTGGCCTCCTAAGGGTATGAGTGGATGCATCTGGATAGAACACAGGATCATGGGAAAGTGAAGCTAGAATAATTCCAGAATAGGACATCAAAGAACTTTCAATATAAGACTCTATTACTTCTTACTATTCATATGTGTGTGTGTGTGTGTGTGTGTGTGTGTGTGTGTGTGTGTGTGTGTGTGTGTGTATGGTTTTTTTTTGGAAATATTTTTACTATAGTAATAATTCTACAAAATATACATTTTTTTTATTTTTTTAAGGCAGGGTGTCATTCTGTAGCCCAGGCTGAAGTGCAGTGACACCATGTTAGCTCACTGCAGCCTTGACCTCCCAGGCTCAAGCAATTCTCCCACCTCAGCCTCCTAGCTATTCCTAGCTGGAGGTACAGGCATGTGCCACCATATTCAGCTATTTTTTTGTTTATTTTTTGTAGAGATGAAGTCTCACTGTGCTGCCCAGGCTGATCTCGAACTCCTGAGCTCAAGCTCAACTTGTCTCAGCCTCCCAAACTGCTGGGATGACAGGCATGAGCCACTGTGCCCAGCATCGTTTTACTATTGTGAGCATGCTAGGCTCCTTCCCAGTTGTGTATGCATTGTGAAATACCCTTCACGGTGTTTCGGAATACATCTCAGTGTTATTCTAGGATTTGAAAACTGTTAAAGGGAGGCTTGTCTTGATTGTTTCATTATTTTCTCACAAACTACTAGTGTTGAGTCCATGAGATTTCCCCCAATATTTATTGTTAACATTATTGATAGATGGCATCTTGATAGGTTTTTAATATTCTTCTGTTTCTTTAGGACCACCACCCCACTTTCTAACCATCATTCTCCCTTTTCCCAAACAACCCAATCCTTTTTGCAGACAAGATTAAAGTACATTTAGAAAGCTAGATACTGACTGATAAATTATCAATTTATATCTTCATTTTTTTTCCTATTGACTGCTAATATAGTCATGCACCACATAAAGACATACAGTCAAGGATGGACCACATATATAACAATGGCCCCATAAGATTTTAATTGAGCTAAAAAGTTTCTATCACCCAGTCATATCATAGCCCTCATAATGTCACATTACCTTTTCTATGTTTAGATATGTTTAGGTATACAAATACTTACCATTGTGTTACAGTTACTGTTACAGTTACTGCCTGCAGTATTCAGTACAGTAACATGCTCTACAGGTTCATAGCCTAGGAGCAATAGGCTGTACCATAGGGCCCAGCTGTGTACTAGGTGATGCCATCTAGGTGTGTGTAAGTACACTCTGATGTTTGCACAATTCCACAATCGTCTAAGGACACATTTCTCAGAATATATCCCTGTTGTTAAACAATGCCTGACTGTATATAAGCATGTTTAGATTTCTCTAAGTTTACCTTTTATAGAGGCAATGAAGAATACATGCCGGCCTGTGACTCTGCAGCATTCTCAAAGCCCGATGTTTTTCTTCTTTAGGCAGAGACAATATCAAAAGTAAACAGAAACATTACTGTAATCTGTAGCACAGGCCGAGCAACTTTCCTGTGTTTTTAAAATGTTGAGTTTAAGCGAGCTTTCTTAATCTCACCAATTTCTTAATTACTTGATCATTCACAGGGTTTAATGTCTTCCTGGGACAACATTCTTTTTGGTTGAAGGTGGGGGTGGGGAATAGAAGTGAGACCACTGACATGAAACTTGCCCTTGAGAAGCTTCAAATCTCGGGGGATTGCTGACTTAAACAGGTGAAGTCACTGCAGAAGATGGGATAGCTCAGCCTGCTACAGACATTCAACTTGAAGGGAACTTACAGCAAGGAGTGTTTAGGGTAGGAGAGAGGCGGCCCCTGAGTGAGGTCTTAGATGGATTCCTGGAAACCTTTTGACTGAGATACTCATGATATAGAAAGACTTTCATGGTCCCACAGTACCAGTGAAGAGTGTTTCAGCTGGAGTTATTCCAGTGCAGACTTTTAGAACAATATGTAATTCATAGTCTTATCAGTCTTGATTAAAGGAAAAAAATAATCTATGTTTTCCCCCCAGCATGATGACATCACCATGTGTTTCTAACTTATCAGTATGTTACTAGAGAAAAATATGTCTTCTCCTCTTTTAAGAGGTAGTAGAGATTTTATGAATCTCAATCACCACCAAAAGCTTTTGGAAATCAATACTAGAAATGATCCAAATTTTTTAACATTGAATGTTTTGTCTTATTTGTTACAGGTGAAATAAGATGCTTAAAGCATCGAAATTTGTAAGAGGTTTATTTTATGTTAGCAGTGAAGATAGGAAATATTATATGTAAATAAAATATTTATACAAAACTAATTATATTGGCTATTGAAGATGAACAAAGAATGTGGGAGTTTGGAGGCTCACACCGTGTTGCTCTACTCTCTTAATTAATGCCATTCCTCTGAGGGTTCATTTACGTAACAGGTTTTTCTAACACTTAGAATGTTTTTTTAAAAAATTTTAAATTATTTTTTAAATAGCAAGAAAAGTACTACTTCTGTAAAAATAAAAAAGAAATTGTATTGATTCTCAGGTCATTCCATGGATTCCATTTCTTGGGATAACATTCAATTTGTAGAACATGTGCTAATCTTTGAAAATGAGACTTAATTTTCCTCATTGGTAATTGCTGTACCTGCACATTCTTACTGAATGCCAGTGCTTTAAAACATTAATGGGAATTTCCATGAAACTGTTAGCACTGATTGCATGAGGGATGTGGGGGTAGTGAGCCAGCACCTGCAGTGGTGTTTGTGACTGCTGGCCTGGGTCCATAATTGCCGATCTGTGTGTAAGTGCCACTTTGCAAGAGCCATGGAATCAGTCCCCTACAGTATTTTGTAAAGTCCACCGTCTGACTCAAGGTTATTATCATGTGGTTAAAAGGAAAGCTTGTGCTTTCTAATGAGGAAGGCTTACCTGTAAATCTCTGATGACCCCGAGTGCTGTCTTGGGGACACCATTCAACCCATTAGCTTGTGTTTTCTTTGTTATGAAATGCTGACAATCGTACCTACCTTTCAAAGAAGAGTGGATGCAAATTTAACAAGTCTGCCATTCATATTAAATTTTGAAATACATATTGAATCCCCTTTAGTACCATTCCACAACCATACAATAAAAAAAGCTTTTATTTTGGAAATACTTTTTTTTAAAGCATATTAGCCAACTTGAAAATTTTATCAACTGGACTAGATCATGTAATTGTTTATTATTTTCCTTCCTAACTTTTCTGCAGTCCACCCCTGTATCTCTTACCTCATAATAAAAAAGTGATTCACAGAAACAAATATGATTCTAGAAAAATTTCAATCAATTTTGGGACTTTCCATCAGGGTTTGTGTTCCATAATATTATTAAATATTTAATTGTAAAGGATTTGGTTGGGAATGAAGTAATTTTAAAAAGAATTATTTAAGATTTATATTTCCTCTATTTACAAAAATGCAGTGGATTTAAGATGGAAATACTGTCTAAGAATCAACATTTATTAAACAGGAAAGTAGCCACCTGAGGAAGTAGGAGGGGTAAATGCCTACAGCTTGAAGAATCCGTGGGAGGAGCTTGAGTTCAGAATTTTTTTGGCAGCAAATACAAATAAACAACATGTGCTGAACATTCCATGTATAGCAGACATTGTTCTAAGTGCCTCACCTCCATTATTATTTTTAAAATCCTTACCACAGTCTACTGAGTTAGATACTATTATTGTCTACTGAGACAATAATAGTAGACATATAATTGCAGATGAGAGAACAGGCATTGAGGGCCAGCTGATTTCCCAAAGGTGACAAGGCCAGGCCAGGGTTTGACAAAGAGGTCATGGCTCCAGAGAGGTGCTGCCTCTTTATTTTATTTTATTTTATTTTATTTTTTATTATTATACTTTAAGTTATAGGGTGCATGTGCACAACATACCAGTTTGATACATATACATATGCCATGTTGGTTTGCTGCACCCATCAACTCATCATTTACATTAGGTATTTCTCCTAATGCTATCCCTCCCCCCTCTCCCCATCCCACAACAGGCCCCAGTGTGTGATGTTCCCCGCCCTGCATCCAAGTGTTCTCATTGTTCAATTCCCACCTATGAGTGAGAACATGCAGTGTTTGGTTTTCTGTCCTTGTGATAGTTTGCTGAGAATGATGGTTTCCAGCTTCATCCACATCCCCACAAAGGACATGAACTCATTCTTTTTTATGGCTGCATAGTATTCCACGGTGTATATGTGCCACATTTTCTTAATCCAGTCTATCATTGATGGATATTTGGGTTGGTTCCAAGTCTTTGCTAGTGTGAATAGTACTGCAATAAGCAAACATGTGCGTGTGTCTTTATTAGCAGCATGATTTATAATCCTTTGGGTGTATATACCCAGTAATGGCATGGCTGGGTCAAATGGTATTTCTAGTTCTAGATCCTTGAGGAATCGCTGCACTGTCTTCCACAATGGTTGAACTAATTTACACTCCCACCAGCAATGTAAAAGCGTTCCTGTTTCTCCACATCGTCTCCAGCATCTGTTGTTTTCTGACTTTTTAGTGATTGCCATTCTATCTGGCATGAGATGGTATCTCATTGTGGTTTTGATTTACATTTCTCTGATGACCAGTGACGATGAGCATTTTTTCATGTGTCTGTTGGCTGCATAGCTGTCTGTTCTATGGATGCATAGAAGTGTCTGTTCATATCCTTTGCCCACTTTTTGATGGGGTTGCTTGTTTTTTTCATGTAAATTTGTTTGAGTTCTTTGTAGATTCTGAATATTAGCCTTCTGTCAGATAGGTAGATTGCAAAAATTTTCTCCCATTCTGTAGGTTGTCTGTTCACTCTGATGATAGTTTCTGCTGTGCAGAAGCTCTTTAGTATAATGAGATCCCATTTGTCAATTTTGGCTTTTGTTGCCATTGCTTTTGGTGTTTCAGTCATGAAGTCCTTGCCCATGCCTGTGTCCTGAATGGCATTGCCTAGGTTTTCTTCTAGGGTTTTTATGGTTTTAGGTCTGACATTTTAGTCTTTAATCCATCTTGATTTAATTTTTGTATAAGGTGTAAGGAAGGGATCCAGTTTCAGCTTTCTACATATGGCTAGCCAGTTTTCCCATAGGTGCTGCCTCTTTAAGCCAAGATGGACATACCCCAGGCTATAGAGATGTCATTGTGAGGAAACTGGACACATTATCTGCAGCATTGATGGTTTCTTCCATCTACATTTATATTATGGAGTTTATTCAACTTTTGGAAAGCTGTGACTTTCCTGGCACCACCTTAACTGTGCCCATTTCCTGGCCCGTATCCATTTCTGAAAGAAAAAGCAACTACATTTACTCTTTTTGGCTTTGTACTTTGTTATTTATTTAAACCTAATTCTTAAATTTTGCTTCACTCTACAGTTTTGTCTTGGTATGGGAAATTTCATTATTATTTTCAAAATGAAAAATGAAAAAATAAATTGGCAACAACAACCAAAAAATCAGAAAAAGGTATTAGATTTAATCAGCAGTTTTTGCCTCAGTAGGTCAAATTATTGTGCAGATACGTTAATTTAAAACCCCAGCAAAAATTTGAGAATTAAGTTATAACTTTTAAGTGTAGAGTCTCCTTAGAGATTGCTAAGCATGTTTTAGAAGTATTTTTTAGAAGTACATTCACTGGATGGATGGTTATGTAATTGGAAGCTGTTTACAATATAGCATAACCTTGGTTACTCCACAGGAGTTAAGTTTATGGCTCGTTAAAAGCATGGAACAGGCAGTTTGATTCAGTTGGGTGTAATAACCTATTGGACAAGGTTTGGAGTGAAGAGTGTTCATGTAATAACTGTCTTCCTTTAGAATAGTTCTACTTGTTGGTAAACTTAGAATTTCACTTTTTCTCCTTAACATTCAGTTACACCAAGTCCTATATAAACATTTTTTTATTTTAGTTCTTATGTAAGTAATTTTTCTAATGTTTAATTTTACTGATTTCAAATATGATATCCCAACAATTTAAAGGGTGTCTGGTTGGTAGGAAAGATGTTCTAGATATTGAATGATCATGGCTGCATTCTATTTTATATTTGTTGCCCTGACACCACCATGCTCACTTCAGTTTTCACCCCATTAAAAATATGGGAGAATTTATTGACCTAGCAAATACCTATTGAGTGTTTATTGAGTTCAGGGAACTTCACTAGCCATTTGGAGCATATGAAATAGAGTGAAGTGTTACACACAGAGAGGTTGTATCCATAGAAAAGTTTGGACAGGTACAGAAAGGTCAAGGTGAGCGCATTGAGGGCCAGTGGTGTGCACATGAGGTCCCATGAGCCTTCAGAAGGAGAGGGAAGGAAGCGTTCAACTGAAGAGAGTGGTCCACTCACATAGTGAGACGGAAAGATGGGCAGACACGGGGCCATGCGCTGAGTGGGATGTTAGGACGGTCAAGTGAATCGGTTGGCTGCATGACCTTTCCAGAGAGTGCTGACTGTGGCTCCCTAGAGGGAGATTTCTAGTGAGATAATGAAGCCTCCGTGTTTGACCTGCCCAGTTTAGCAACTTTTCCCCCAGTAACCTGCATAATGGTGAAATGGTCGTTATCCCCATCTTTTTCTTTTTTGGTTGGGGGGACAGAGTCTCGCTCTGTCACCCAGGCTGGAGTGCAGTGATGGGATCTCAGCTCACTTCAGCGTCCGTCTCCTGGGTTCAAGCGATTCTCCTGCCTCAGCCTCCCGAGCAGCTGGGACTACAGGGGTCCGGCCACCAAGCCGGCTAATTTTTTGTATTTTTAATAGAGAAGGGGTTTCATCGTGTTAGCCAGGATGGTCTGGATCTCCTGACCTTGTGATCCGCCTGCCTCGGCCTCCCAAAGTGCTGGGATTACAGGCTTGAGTCACTGCGGCAGGCCGATCCCCATCTTTTTAAGGCTCCAAAGCAAGGTGTCCTTAGAAGAGGTGATTCAGGAAGTCCAGTCCAAATGAATTTCATGTGGAACCACTTTGGACTATTTCTGTACATATTGGTTAAACTAGAACTAATGAATACCTTCACTCAACATGAAGAAAAGTGGGTTCTCTCTCCATAATGTGTAAAGAAGCGCTTGCTGGACATCAGAGGTGGTGCTGATTCTGTTCATTTGGTACATACTGGTTGTGTCCTTGTGGAGACGTGTATTCCAGCAAATGTGGTCAAGCCCTGCTGAAGGCCAGCACCCAGAAATACAGTAGCAATAATCCTGATGGATGATGAGGAAGAAGGTTCTGTGCCCCTGCTGTTACTTCTGACCAGATCCCTGTCCCGGGTCCAGAAACTCTGGCCATGCATCTATTCCACAGGAGAATCCAGGGCTCCACCAGAACTGAGGTGACTCCCTGCATGACTAGGCGCAGGGCTGAACTGAGGGAATATGGCAGGTGTAACTGAAAAATGAGAGCTAATGACACCAGCAGCAGCATTCTTGATGTGTAAGAAACAAGGACAACTCTGTAGTCAGAAGGAGGAAAGAGGGAAGGAGCTGAAACCACCAATAGCCAGGCTTGGCAATGTGGGGGGCTTTGGACAAAGGCTTGGGGGACGCCTCATGCCAGCAGCTCCTTATCAGTAGCTGGTTCTGTGGTGTTGGTGCAAGCCAGCTGTTCGAAGAGGATGAGACTGCACTGGCTACTTTCCTTCTCTTAGATGTCATTTTTAGGGAAATATCATATGATAATGGAAATCAAGGGCAGAAATCATACAAGAAGTGCCAGTCTAACTGTACCTTGAGCATATGGGTCAGATTTCAAAGGTGGTGATGGAAATGGAGATGGAGCCATTGCTGTCCAGGTGCGTCTCAAGAACAGATCCCCTTGGTGTAGGAAATAAGGGCACATGATGGCGAGAACCTTTTCTCTGCTTCTAGCACTACGGAAGTCCCCCCTGTTTCTGTCCTACCCCAGTGCCACGAGTAAAACCTTCTTCCTTCTCCTTCTCTCGGGCCAACATTATTTTTATATGAGCACAGATTAAAACAAGCTGTTTCACTGCCCAGTGAGTCTCCGCGTTGTCAGTTGAAGAGGGGACCAGCCACACCAGTGGTTTTTATTCTCTTCTTCTGTGCTTTCTAGTTTGGTAGCTGCTACCCACAGACAGCTATTTAAATTGAAACTACTTTAAATTAATAAAACTCAGAGAGTAATTCCTCACTAAGTTTCAAGTTCTCCATAGGTAGTTGTAGCTAATGGCTACATATGCTATGTACGTGTGTGTGTGTGTCTGTGTGTGTATATATTAATATGAGATAGTGCAAATGGAGAACATTTTCATCATTGCAGAGAGTTCTCTTGGGTGACATTGTTCTACTTAATATTTTAATAGCTCATGTGATAAATATCACTTAAAATCCGTCCTGTTCCTGCTGTTTTGCTCTGTTACAATATGTTGATACTGAACAGTATTTTACCAAGGTAAGAAATATGTTAAATCTTACTCTCTCCCCACCTAGAAAACAAATTATCCCAGCAATTAAATTCTCAGTGACAACTAGTGATGGAAACTTCTCAGGTTAATGAAAAGTTTCCATTAGAATCAGAACGACTCTTCCTAAGTATCCTGTCTTCAACCCTTAAGCCTATTATCTAAAATACATAAAAGAAAAATGATAACTGTAAAGATTATACTGGTTTCTAAAAAATCCCAAGCAAATAAAATATACTATTTTCAAATATTGGCTCTATTCAATATGTTGTAAACATTGTTATTTCAGCAACTTTTTTGACCAAGAAAAGAAAGGAAAAGAGAAGATTTGACTGAGGGTTCTGTTAGGCAAAGCGTGAGAGAAAACTAAAGAAGAAGATGGACTTGGCCGGGCGTGGTGGCTCATGCATGTAATCCCAGCACTTTGAGAGGCTGAGGTGGGCAGATCATGAGGTCAAGAGATCAAGACCATCCAGGCCAACATGGTGAAACCCTGTCTCTACTAAAAATACCAAAATTAGCTGGGTGTGGTGGTGCACGCCTGTAGTTCCAGCTACTCAGGAGGTTGAGGCAGGAGAATCACTTGAACCCAAGAGGAGGAAGTTGCAGTGAGCCGAGATTGTACCATTCCACTCCAGTCTGGGCAACACAGCGAGACTCCATCTCAAAAAAGAAAAAAGAAAAAAAAAAAAGAAGAAGAAGATGGACTTCTTAGGCTAAGGAATGGTAGAAAGCCAGTGGACCTCTGAATGGCCACGGTGACTCACGCTTTAAAAGGGCCCTGAACTCAGTACACTTTTCTTTTTAACTTCTCTGCAGGAAAAAAAAAAAACAAAACTTCTGAATAAAATTAACATACTTTATTTGCAAAATCATTACATAAGTAGACTTAACCTCCTGGCACATGACAAAGTAATTATATGAGTTCGTTGATGTTTTGGGTTGGAGGAAAGAACTTGGCCGTAGGCAGATATCCAGGAGAATTTGGTAAATCTGGGTTTATAAACATGAGCAGTTTCACTTTCTATAAATCAAGCCCTACAAGTGGATTGAATCCTTCATCTGATATTTTTTTCTAAATTGTTTTTTTCTGAGAAGTACAGTGTCACACGATGCAGCATTCCAGGAAGGCATCTATGGTCAGGAGAAGTTTGAGATGTCCTGTGCTTCATCCTTTCATTTTTACAGAGTCACTCAGCTCTGAGAAGGGGTATGGTCAGGGGACTTGTTTAATGTGGCTTCACTTAGCACCACCTAAATTGGTTTGACGAGAGAATCCCCAATATTTTTTATTGTCATCTTTTATTAGCTTGCAAACCACTGTCATTTTCTGTAATGCCTACTTAAAATATACCTGATTAGTCTATGAATAGAACTACAAAATAACCAAATCACTTAAAAAGCTAAATGGTTTTATATGAAAAACATCCCTAGTTTTAGGATGTTGAAGAATTTAGAGGTGAAGTAGCATGATGTCAGAAACTGTGTTACAGATCCTTCAACCAAATAGTTTATACATGTAGTATATGTGTACACAGCTATATGCACACACACGCGCACAGGGAACCCAAACGTGGCGAAATATCTGCAAGTGATGAATTACAATGAAGGATGTGATTTGTACAATTTTTGAAATATCTCTCTATGTTTCAAAACTTACTATACAAAAAGAGGAAACTCTTATGAACACAAACATAAGCTACTTTAGTTATTGGGATAATCAAGAAGCTGCCATACAGAAGAGTTGATTAGGAGAGAGAAAGGATTTTAAGGTCCAAGAACAAGTGAAAGGGTGAGATTCATGCTATTGACTAGAGACAGCTACATACCACAAGAAAGGTTTCTCAGGTCATTTTTGGAATTGCCTTGCCATTCCTCTAAGAGTTATGACTCCATATTCAAGAGTTTCTACTTTAGGCCCTTCAGCCAGGCCGATGGGAACCTTGCCCAGAAGATTGTCGGGGTGTTATTTGTTTTCATGCCTGTCCAGGTCACAGCATGACACAGAAAACCTTGCCAACTTTTAATTGTGTTATGTAGCTAAATAAATAGGGAAGCCGTTCTGGAGGGGCTCTCAAGATTTACCTGATGCCCCAGCTGCTTGACCAAGTGGAGCCAACAGCTTGAAAAGCGCTGCAGCCACGACTGGCCTGACCTTGATCTTCCTTAGACTGGCTGTTAATCCCCAACTTGTGGCTGGGTCTGGAAAGCAGTGTGTGTAATAGATTGCATGTCATCTTGTATGCTTCTAGGGCACAGACATTGGCATACAGTATTTTCTGAATAACTTCTGAAGGACTTCAGCGAAGGTAGTAGCATTCGGAGGTGGAAAAGTTCCTTAGCTTTCAGATTCTGCGTTGATATATCATTAGCTGAAACAATATTGCAAACATCACTATTGCCTTAAGGGAGAGAGAAGAGTCACTTAGTTTCCTGCAATTTCTGAGATGCTTCTTTTAATATTGTAAAACTCTTGCTAATATGCTCTTTCAACAATGCTAGCGTATTTGCAGCCCTGACTCCCCTTTCAAAGCTTTTGCTTTTCCTGTTCCTTTTCTTCCTCCTTTTTTCTTTTTATTGTTTGACCTTTACAAAAGGTTATAAAAATTGTGAAATTGGATTTGTTCCTGTTGCTGATAAAGGTTTTAACAGTAAAGGTTCTTCTTCTAAGCACTTCTTCTTCTATGCACTTCTTAGTGCACGTCAGAATTGTCACAGTTCTTGTGATCTTTTGATACTCTGCATGTTGCAAATATTTATGTTACAAATATTTCCATTAACATTTACTTACATATTACAGATATTTCAGTCAGTTGTTACAAATATTTCTATAACATTAATACATGGTTCTATGCTGCATGTATATTACATGTGAAACATTTTATGTCATTATTATGTTTGCTAACAGCAATGTCATATTTATGTACTTGAATATGTTGTACATTAGGGCATTAAAGTTACACAGAAGTGTCAGAAAATAGTACTTTCACATCAATATAAACATGTATTTACATTTTATCTTCCATTTCCCACTGGAAACTAAATATTAATCTTTATAGAGTAATAATTATAAAATATATTGCAAACAAATGATAAAACCATGAAACTTTACATCTTTGTTGTGCTTCAGATTTTGCAAAGTATTGTCACCTACAGTATTAGGAAAGATAGCTAAACAAATGATAATCCAATATGTCTGCAAAAGCTCTTTTTGTAAATTCGGGAAATGAAGCTGCAAAGGACTTTAGAATCTCATTTTTTTCATTATTTTTGTTCTAGTTGTTTTTAATAGATCATATGCATTTGTGAGGCTGAAGATTTTCATTCCAAATGTTAAAAAAAAATATATTATCTCTAGGTGCCTCTGATGATCATAGTAAAATTTCAAAGAAACTTTTATGTCATGATCTGTTATATTATCCACCCAGGTAAGGATTAAAAGAAAAAACTATTTAGTAATTTTCAAAATTTAGAAATTCAGGAAGAAGGTTGTATTTCTGGTAAGTGCTTCTGAATAAAGTTAATTCTTAACAGATATGGAAGTATAAATTGATTAAATTTCCCTAGTTTACAGAGTGTCCCTATATGGTGACAGTTGAGAGAAATGATCTGAGATTGAACTATTGAATTAGTTGTTTGTTCACCTTTTACTCTTGAAAATGTATTATTTGAATGGTGTTTGCCTAGGTAGAGAGATCATAAATGAAATGCAAACCATCCATTTCTGCACATAGCTGCTTGGTCTCTGAAAGTTCCTCAGCGTTGGCCTCTTTTCTTATTTTATGTGTGACTGTGAGTTAGAAAGTCAACCCTAGAAGCCCAGCAAACTGTGATCATATCATTTATATCACGATAAATGGGCTGGTTTTTCTCTGTAGATATTATGAGGAAAAATCTGCAGTCTTCAAAACTGTGTCTGGAAGCACGAGATAGAATTCAGGAGCATCCTGAAAGAATTCCTGTCATCTTTTCAAACTTCCTCGGCAAAGAGTGCCTCTGATTTTACTGTGTTGCAGATACACTTGCCCGATTCTCTTGGCAGTAGGCTGCTTACTTTGCTGAGTAAGTCACAGGGCTGTTGGCAAGAGAGAGAAAAGATTTCACTCTTGGAGCATAAAGTTAGATTTTCTAAATTAAATTGTTGTATTCCCATTGGAATATTTATTCCAGTAATGTTTCAAAATGTTCCTGAAGACTGAGTTTTAAAATTTGCCTCTAACAAGCTTTTAAAGAGTTTCTTGTCTCAATTTAGATGCAGCATTATTAGCCACTTCTTCTGCTTTTTCTTCTCCAGCAGGTAGATCAATCTACAACAGCTTTTATGTGTATTGCAAAGGCCCCTGTCAAAGAGTGCAGCCGGGAAAACTCAGGGTACAGTGCAGCACCTGCAGGCAGGCAACGCTCACCTTGACCCAGGTAAGGAAATGCAGTGTCAGCATGAGACTGCCAGGAAAATGAATGTGTACTAACACATTGCCTTTCAGTTTTTCTAATGATGTATCACCCGTCTTTGAAAAGAAAAGACATTCTCTTCTGTGGTTGTGATAGTTAATGATAGCCGAAGTTTCGTTTATGCGCCTTTGTCTTCTGGATTTCTTTCTGCTCTGTGAAAGTTTAGATTACACAGGGTTGTTTCCCCATTACTTTATCCAGGCCTATGAAAGGAAGTATGGAGAGTGCTTTGGCAGCAAAAAGAGGTTGGGCTTCTGTTACGGTGTGATTAGAAGGGACCATTTAGGAACCTTAGGCTGCTAAAAATGTTTTGTATCTTGATCTGTGTGATGGTAGCATGGTTATATACAAAAGTCAACATTCACTGGGCTGTTGCGTTAAGATTGGTGCACCAAATGTACGTTATACCTTAATTTTAAAAAGTAAAAAAAGAGTATGGATCAGCAAACAGTATGCATATAAAGCAAGGGTCAGTCAACTGAAGTCTGCTGTGGCCACTGCTTGTTTCTGTGCAGCCCCTGACGCAAAGTTGGTTTTTATGGCTTTAAATGGTTGGGAAAAATCAAAAGATGAATAACATTATGTGACCCATGAAATTTACATTCTCATGTCCATAAATAAAGTTTAATGGAGAGCCAGCCCCACCCATTTCTGTACATGTTGCCTACAGCTCCTTTCCTGCTTTAAGTGCAGAGTGGAGTAGCTGGGAAACAGACTGGGTGGCCTACAAAGCCTGCAATACATACTCACTGGTTCTTTAGAGAACAGGTTTGCTGACCCCGATAGAAAGTGTCAGGTTCCGGCTCGGTGGCTCCAAGGGATTTGGCTGGATGTGATGTGGTTGCAATAGAGGGCATGCAGGCCGAGCGTGTCCAGTCCCCGCGGTGGAGAGAACACAGACACGGGGGTGTCAAGGACACAGTGCTGGGGGCAGTCAGGTGTGCAAGTGTGGGTAAATACCCCAGGCACCAGCCAGGAACCCCAGTGATGACTGGCATGTTCAGATTCTATTCTGCAAGCTGACGGAAACCACAGCAAAATTGTATAAACCAGGGTGATGTGTCAAACGCTATTGAGGACAGTTCATGCTGAGGACAGTTTGCCATTAGACTTGAAGATGGGGACAGGTGAAAGACAAGAGGCTAATTAAGGCGCATTTCATCTGGTTCGCAGATGAGGAGCTGTGGGCCAGGGTCAAGGTGGCAGCCCTGTAGAATGGGTGTTACGGGGCCTGTGAAAGAACTCAAAAGATCCACCTAATAAAGGAGAAATCATGGATCCATCTTCTCAGGCCTGAGAAAATGGTGGAATTACAGAAAGCTGTGATTCAGTGTTTCACTTTGATGAACATTTCAGCTGTCTAGAGAAATTCATTTATAGAGTCAAAGCCACACAAGAATGATGCCCACGGGGCTCTTTCTGGGACAGTTCTTGGGCAGCTCTCCTGCCGGGCAGCATGCTGCAGGCCCAATGTCCCCAAGAGGGGTTGCTTCCACTTGCTCCTCTCCTCTGGCTTTCTCAACACAAGACACAACCTCATCTACCCCAATCTGTGCCTAAGTCCTGATTGCTTTAGGTGGCATATATGACCTATTTATACCAACTTCCTGGTATTCTTGGTAAAAATGGCAATAAAAATGAATATTGAATTCCAAGCTAAATTCTTTTCAGGCATTATCTGGTTTAATTATTTCATAAGAACACTCTCAGTTAAGCATTATTAGTAACCCTATTTTAGATGTGAGGATAATAAGGCTTAAAGAGATTAAGGCATTTGCCCAAGAAAAGAGGAACTTATGAGTGTGGACTTGGAGGTTGAACCTGGACTGTCTAATCTAAACATTTAACTCCTTTAGCTTTTCAGCTTTTTTTTTTTTTAACACACAGATATAATTACGATAGATGTCACATACTCATATGTCCACAGTGATCACTCAGGTGATGAGAAGTTAGGTTAGATGTGGGCAGTAGGGGGCGGTGAGGACAGTAGTGGAAGGGTGAGGTGGAATTCATGTTGAAAAGTCGCTTCTGCCAGTTGCTGGCAAGAGGTGAGAGGGAAACTCAGTATGGCTGTATTGTTTTCTTTTTAATCAAAAGAAATCATCAATCTGGAATTTTACATGGGATTTCTCATTTAATAATATGCTTTGTGTGGGAAAAAAATAGAAAAACAGAAAGAAAACCAACCTGTAGCATTGGCCTAAACATAACAAGCCAAAATAGAGTGTTGTGGGGACTAAATGGTACATTAATAGTAGGTACTTACCAGAGCCTGACATGTCGTAATCCTCAGGAACAGTAAGGCTTGGCTGAGAGGTGATGACCTGTGAGCCTAAGAAATGCTCACAGCCTCTTGATGCAGAGCAGTAGAGGTAGGGGTGGTTTTACTTCTCTGAAATCAGTTAGCCAGAGCCAGTCTGCCCCATTAGAATCCTGACTTCCTTTGCTCTTACCTATGCCAACTTGGTAATATCTATTCAATGGTACAATAGTATCTATTTCCTTTTGTGCAGATTAGCTCATTTACGAAGAGTACTTAGAACAGTAGCCAGAACATAAATATTTAGAAATGTAAAATTCTTTATTGTTATTCTATTAATATTACTATTTTATGTATGTATGTATATATATTTATATATACTCATGTATGAAATCAATCTAGGCTTTGGCTAACTGATTTCAGAGAAGTAAAACCACCCCTACCTCTACTGCTCTGCATCAAGAGGCTGTGAGCATTTCCATCTCAGGCTGAGGCTCTGTGATGATGTCATGCCACCCTGCTCCCCAGGCCCAGCATCCTGGGAGGGATGTTCAATCCCTGTGTTTTGTAGTCTCGGCTCCACCTCTATCTCCAAAGCCCAGTCATGTGACCACCTGGGATTTTTCTCAGTTCCCAGAGATGCTCCACCTTTGATATTTAAATTCATGCTGTTTCTTCCCCAAGCACTGTTTTCTGCTCTGCATATCATTGACCCTTCTCTGAAGTTTTTCTAGAGCTGTTGGCCTCTCCTCTCTTCATTTCCTACCTGAGGGGCCAAAATGTCAACTCCAGTATTGCAGGTATCATTCACTTCCTGCCCTTCATTCTACCAAAGTGTCCTTACTTGTCTATGTTCGAAGAGCCTGTAAGCCTTGTTATAAGATCAGATAACTTTCAGCTTGGGTCTCTAGTTTATGTTTAACACCTCACAAAGTGCCTTGTCCATAGAAAGACACGAATCAAGTAATGCTGAATAAATAGCATTTGTATTCGAAATTTTCTATGTTGACTCCATGAATTCATACCCTTTAGAAATTCTGTCTGGCATCATATAATGAAATGAAGCATAGCAATTATGATGGCTTCACTACAGTGTACTGATTTCCTTCCTTATCCTTATATTCTTGTATTTCTATTTTTCTCCAATTCTCATCCAGTGTTTTTACAAAGAGACTCCATGAGGTTAAGTAATGAGCCCAAAGTTACACAGTTCATAAATATCGAAGCCAGGAGTGAAAAATCTGCTTTGTATTTTTCCATAGCCCTGGCCTTTACTAGGATATAGTCCTCACTATACAAATCTAGTAATCAGTGTTCTATTTTCTAACTACTTCCCTTGTACTTAAAATATAACTGAAACATACTCTTGAAAAAAATATGCTTATGGATTTAGGGACAATTAAATCAAAGATAACTTATATAATCCATATTTTAGTACAGTAACTAGATCTAGTGTAGCTAGTCCATAGGAGAAGATCAGATGTTTCAATTTTTCAATAACAAAAATACACATTCAGTAACACCTACAAATAATATTTCTGTGGATCAGCCGACCAGTCACACTACTGATTCACCAGCAAATTTAGGCTTTGCAATAATGGAGTAGGTGCTAAACTTTGCCAAGTGTAAAGATTGCTGTGTGAATAATAGGCAATTCTGAGGTTTCATTTTCTAGAACTTTATAAGGATCGATAACTTACATAATTGTCTCTGATCAAGAACAAAAATACAATATAGGATCTTGTGTGGCTGACTAGTTATAGGTGAGCAGCATGTGGTTTATGTGAACTTCAGCAAGATTTTTATACCTAAGGAGGAAAACTGGAACCTGGTTAGCCACCTGGGTTATTTTTGAAAGTATAATTGTATTTTTTCTCATTTGGAAAAATCAGTTTGCAACGAGATCCACTCATATCATGAGTCTAAATGGTAATCTTCTAAAGTTTTTATTGGTGATTTGTTCTTAATTCTAACATTTCCTGAATGCTATTTAAAATTTACATGTAATAATAATGAGTTGCTTTTCAAATGTGATGCTCCAGTTTAATCATGTTTCACATTTAATATGATACTCTAACAAATTGTAAAGGAAATGGATAGTTAATTTTGTCCTGATGTTAGGCATGGGGAACTGATGTCTGAAGTTTTCACCTGACCTCATAGGTAAGTTGAGAACCAACCCGGACTCAAATTTTCTTCATCTCCATATCAGAATATCCTCTTTCTTGCATGGTGACCTTGATCAGAGTTTGGACTAGACTATAATCCTTTAGAAATATGAATGCTTACTGGAAAACGGTGAACAATAGCTAATTGGCAAGCATTCACTTTTCATCTGCTTCTTCAAAAGTCATCCACTGAGGTCCATGCAGAAATGAGACAGAGTTGAACACACAAGGGAGGTTGTTTTATATGTGCATATTTAATTCTGATTGGGTTCCTGACCAATGAAATTAATAATTTAAAATAACTCATGTCATTGTTTCCTTGAAATATTTCCCTAGCACCAATTTATATCAACAAACTTTATCAGAGACTGTATTAATTTTTAATTATTTTGACTGGGCTGGTAAGGTTAATTTGACTCCATGGCAATGGTAAGTCTGTCCCTTGGCATGATTTGAAAACCAAGCCTCCTCCTTCCCCTGAAGGCTTCTCACTAAATCCTAACAGTACTCTTTCTGATCATGGCTGAGGAGTCCTGTCCCTTGCTACTATCATTGTCTTGGCCATAGCCCATATTTCAACTGACTTGTGCCTCCTCAAGAAAGCAAAGCCCCTGGGATAGGAAGTAACTGACTAGTCTTTGGAACAGAAAATTGGCTTAAAATATAGTAAGGCTTTTTATAGAGTGAAATACTTGATTGACTTTAATAATAATTAGAAGATAGAATTGACATAGAAGTGAGCTGAGAGCACATACAGCATCTGGTCTTGAAATATTTTCCTGGGAGCAAAATTCTCCAGGACTCTAGTTCTGATTAAGGTTATGAATTGCTAATCCCTCCAGGACAAACTCTAGGTAACCAGAGTTATCCACCATTAACATCTTTTTGTTTGTACTCAGTTTATTGGTCTTAAAATGAATCAGAAGCCAGGAGATTACTGTAGCCAAGAACTTTGGGTGACCCCCTCCCCGCTACAATCACCGTAATTACTTTATCTCAAAAAGAACTTTATCTTTGCCACTCTAATGAGATACTCTGCCATGGAATAGCATTAAAGCTAAAAGGTTTCTGATGAGAAATGGTGCAATAAATAGAGTAAGATGTAAAGTGCCTGGCATGATGGATTTTGTTTAAAATTAGTTTATAGATTAGGCACAATTTATGTGAGGAAATTTATTAAGAAATACAGTCTAAATGTAAAATCATTCCTAAGCTTAATATTTGTTACAGATTAATTGTTGGCCAGGAGTCTTCTTACCTCTCTTGTTATCAAAATTACTCTCACATTTATGTAAGAAATTCAAGTCTTAGAATAGACCTAAGCTTACTTTCTAGTTTTCACATGGGGTGTTTTTGCCTAAGTGTGTGATATCCCCTCTTTGCTTATTGTAGATTTGGTTATCAGGCGTTTCAGTGCTTTGAAAGCACAGTGGAGGAGGCATTACGCATTATTTTATGTTATTGACAGTATTTGTAGGGCATGTTTTGGATGTCCCGACAGTGAGAGTGGAACCGGCCACCATGCATTCTGTTTTGCATCGCGTTACAGTGTTAAATCTACAGCGAAGCTGGTTTCTGTGTGGATTCATAAGCTCCAGGGTGGAAAGTGTGCAGAACACAATGCATGTCTGGCATCTACCAAAGCCAGGGTGGCCCCCGTGTTCACTGTCGCCCTTCACGCCACCATCTGTTCTGCCACGAGATTTCTCTTGGCCTTGTGGACGCTTCTTACTTCATCTCCTTTTCACGCCCACTCTCTTTGCTTGTGTTCTCCTTGGTCCTTATCACGGGCTCTCATCCACACACAAATGATGCACACTCACCTCGCAAAGAGCCAGTCGATAGAGAAGTGAGAAAGGTTAAAATATTTTCCTCTTTTTCCCTTTTACCAAAGCTAATACTTCCAAAAGAGCCAGGTTAAGGTAAAAATAAACATATAAAAAACATAGTAAACATATAAAAATAAACATATAAAAAAGGATTACCATAAAGAACTTAAAATTTTGATGATTTATTTTTTATACATGTATTATTCTTGATAGTTTACATTTAGAATTTGCATACTGTATACAATATATATGTAAAGGGGTCTCCTTAAAGACGGTTGATCGAAACCATTTCAGGGCATCAGTATCAGCCAGTAGAAGGAATTTAAAATTGTAAGTAAATGCTGCTACTGCCATTTTCTTGAGACTCATTTTGATAATTCATGCCTGGGTTTCAAACCCGTAAATGTTCTTTTCCACCAACACACACCTCATATGGATACCATTGAATTTTCTCACTTACTATTTTGCTGATTTTTACCACATTTACTAATATAAGGAATAATATTGTTTTGAAACATTCTTTTGGAATTTATTCAAGTATTTTTATTGTATTCTGTATTTGATTATTCTCAAAATGGTCAATAATTTCTTAGCAGATTTTAATGAATGATCAATTTGTTGAAAGTTATGAAATACAGGTGAATTCATCTTCTTAAGAACGTTTTCTTCTTTAATATACTTGTACGTCTATTGTTATAAATATAACCTAAACTTCAAAATTCCATATGGGAACTCTTGGCTTATACCGATTTCTTTCTAATCTCTATTTTAGTTGTTTTTCTGTTACTCCAGATTTAAAAAACATTTTCCAAATCATTTTCTTTGTTTGTTGGTTTACCAAAAATATGTTTCTTTTAATCAGCTTTTAGGATCTTCTGTATTTTATATTGAATTTCCAGGACTTTTCAGGTTATAGGTGAACACCTCTTCTCTTCCTAGGAGCATTTTAGGGATGTTCATTGTTTATGCCCCTGCTCCCTTCTGCAACAGCTCCAGGCAGTTGTACACTGAGGGGCCAGGAGGGGACCTGAAGAGCTCAGGACACCAAAGACCACACTGTGCAGTTCATAAATAATCAAATTTTAGAACTTTTGAGTAAACGATTAGGTAAGTTGGCCAGCCAGTGAATCAGCCTTTGGTGAATGGATTTTCAGCAGCCTTCCTAGAACCAACTCCTACAAATGGCCATAGGACACACATGTATAGGTCACAAAAGCTTCATTTGTTCAAAGACACTAATTTTTAGGAAAACATCAGATCATTTGAATGGCTCTCAAAGACTCCTCCAATGTTTAGCTGAGGGTCTCATGGAGCAGAGGCATAGTTAAGAGAAGAAGAGGATGGAGGGGATAGACGAGTTCAGGGAGGAGTGATAGCCGAAGGTGGACTGAGTAAGTATTTTATCAAAGTCTATGTGGGGACCTGGGCAAAAGCCAGAGTGATGCACATTCAGCTTTGGCGAAGAGGGAGAAACCCAGCATTGATCTGAAATAAGTAAAATGGTATCTAGCTGAGCTGCCGGCAATTTTAGCCAATTCGTTGTTACTCTTCTGTATCACAGAAATGCGTACGTTGAGAGCCTTTGTCCTTTGCCTAGTATTTTAGAATTAAGATTTTATTTATCATATGTTATTCATTGGGATGATGTCAGTTAATTAAAGTCTAGAGAAATGTGGGTCAATGTTGGTAATTCATTGACTTTTCAATCCAGCTATTTATTTTCATCCAGCCCACAGTAGTGCTAGCCTTTCATTGCTTCTTTAATAGAGATCCCTCTGTAATGATAACTGTTTTTTGTTTGTTTGGTAATGATTTTACTCACTACTCTTTAAGAAAAAGGGAGACAGAAAAAGAAGTCGGTCTTGCAGACGCAAGTTCCCCAAGTGTACCTTTAGAATGCTCAAAAGCTCAGCATCATGAGGACCCTGGAGAGATGGGAACATACCAGATGTCGCTTTGCATTTTGTTGTGTAGAGTGTCTCAGTGTTTTTGTTTTGATACCCAGCCATGCGCTTGACCCATGCTGCTAGTTTGAAATTCTCAAAATTGTGGGCAGGAAGTTAAAAGCATATTACTCTGAAAAAGTATGTGTATATATTTTAAAACATGTTACTTATTGCATTACTTCCAAAGTACATGGTTTTGTTGTATGTATACTATAAGGAGTGACTACTATTATAGTGAGAACCTGCTTCTACAAAAAATAGAAAAAAAAAAATTAGCTGGGCGTGGTAGCATGTGCCTGTAGGCCCAACAACTTGGGAGACCGAGGCAGGTGGATCCATTGAGCCTGGAAAGTCAAGGGTGCAGTGAGCCATGATCATGCCACCACATTCCAGCCTGAGTGACAGAGCGAGACCTTATCTAAAAAAAAAAAAAAAAAAAAAAAAAAAAATCCCTATAATTTATTGAATGCTTACCATAAATCATGAGCTAAGCTCAGACTTTACCTAAATATTTAATTGTTATGATATTTGTATAGTGCTTTTTCTAATTTCACATATGCATATCATTATGGCAATGAGGTACACCAAGCCAGTATTACTTACTTTTTATGTAAAAGATATTAAAAGTTTTACAAAGTCTGTCAGTTAGTAGTGACATGCAGTCATTAATTTAGATAATTGGAAATTGGTTAAGTGATCTACAATCTTATTCATTGTGCAGGATGATACATTTTTAAAATATTTATAAGAGAAATATTTCTTGATACTACATAGAAGGGTTTGAGAAAACTCAACCTAAAGTACCTACAAAGCATAAAAGAAAAAATAAGGTTCTCTAAAGAACGTTTTTCATATGTCTTATTGTTTCATTTTACGTTGTAGTTACATG